>NC_000002.12:154156284-154459314 GCF_000001405.40 Homo sapiens | reverse complement strand
CAACCCTTTTCCCACCAACTCCCAAGTCCCTTGCATGGAATACAATGCACCAATAGAAAGGAAAGATGGAAATTCACTTGATACTCAACACATATGTATTGGGTGCCTAGAACGTGCCAGGTATTATTCTAGATACTTGCAGTATATCACAATGAAATTAAGATTCCTGTTTTGCAGTACCTTTTATTCAAGGGGTGAGGGTGCTTGGTAGGGGTGAGGGGTAGAGAGAGAGAAGCAATAAACAACTAAGCATTAAAAGTGATAACTAAGTAAATTAGACTACAGTATTACAAAGAGTAGATGGGGGATCTCATAGAGAATTTAGTTGTGATCAAGGCTAATGAGTTCCCATGTAGACATCTAGGAACAAGTATTCCAGGTAGAGGCCCTAAACCAAAGACATGCCTGGCTTGTTCAGGCATGGACACAGTGCTTGGGATGAAGTGAATAAGGGGAAACATTGTATGGGAGGAGGTCAGAGAGTTAACAGGGGCCAGATCAGCATGCAGTGTTGTTGGCTTTTATAAGGACATAGCCTTTTACTTTATGCAAAACAGGAAGCCACTGGATAGTTTTGAGCAGAAGAGAGACATATCTGAGTTACATTTTATATCATTATTCTGGTTCTCTTTTAAACAATTTTTTTATATAAATTTAAGGCTCTCTCTGAGAACAGACTATGGAGGAGGCAAGGGTGGAAGCAACTTGGAAACCAGTCAGGAGACTCCGGCTATCATTTAGTTGGTGGTACAGACCAGAATGGGAGTAGTTGAGGTGTTAAGAAGTGGTCAGATTCAGCAAACACTGTGAAGGTGGAATTAAGGAGATTTTCTAATGGAGAGAGAGATTTCAAGGATACCAAGATTTTAGGCCTGAGCAGCTGGCAAAATGGAGTTGCCATCAACTGAGATGGAAATCTCTGGGTTGAACAGATTTGTAGGAGAAGGCAAAAAGTTAAGTTTTGGACAAACCAAGTTTCAGGTGTCTATTAGTTATCCAAGTGTAGATGTCAAGTAGGCAGTTTTTGAACTGGATAGAGATATTTGGGAGTCATCAGCATCGGAGACATTGAAATATGTGCTTCTGGATGAGATCACCAAAGAGTCAATGCAAATTGAGAAGGCCAAGGACTGCACCTCGAGGCACTCCAATATTAAGACATGGGAGAAAGAAGGGAAAGCTTAGCAAAGGAAACTGGAAATCAATGGCCAATGAGGTGGAAGGAAAACCAAAAAATGAAGAAAGAATATCCAAAGGAGGAGTTGGTGAGCTGCTGAGGCAAATGATTCTAAATCCACTAATGGAAACTAGAGTTTTAAAAAGCTAACTATGTGGGAAAAAATGGATTCTCCACCCCTTTGGTCCATATAAATAAAGGAAGAAATTTGAAGTGCTTTTATATATGCAACTTAACTTCATGTCGTTGTTTAAAAGCCAAAACGTTTCACAGGTACATAGGGAAAGCAAGCTGCAGGCTCAGGGCTGAGAACACAGGTCCCATTAGTCTTAAGGAAGGGTGTTTTAAATTCTGACCTCAATTGTTTAGACAATGTTGATTTCACAGCCTCCACCTTATATATATTATCATGTAGGAGATAGAGTGCTTGCTGCAGTAAGTTCAGGTGTTTTGTGTTGCAGAGAAAACTGTAAAATCTGTTTTAGATGTTTGCATGTTTACCTAGTTTTTCACTTCAAAAAATTGGTGAAGAGACTTCTGTCAAAAGAATTTCAGTGGGCTACCTACCACCTCTTTCCCACAGTGGAAGCAGAGATTGGTGATTAATATCCTCTGTCCTGCGGGGGAAAAAATTCATGATGTCAGAAAATGAGTGAGTCAACAGAAAGCCTACCTAAGAGTCTCCTTGGCTGAGGAGGAAGACGAAAGCACAGTTCTGAGCATGAGAGCTCACATTCTGTTTCTACCAGGTGCTGAAGAAAAGCAAGACAGGGTAAGTTATGGATCTATCAAAGCCTGAAGTGGGTGGGGTTGCTTTATTAGGTTATACTTGAGTACCTGGTTACTGCTGGAAATGTATGCTGTGCGTGGACAAGAGTAACCGAAAAGAGAGTAACAGAGTTGGGTATCTGGAGTCACACTTGGTTTACAGAAAGCCAAGAAGGGACAAAATCTAGAAATGTCCTTTACACTTGCTGACAGTTATAAGTTGCGGAAAACTAGCGAGGTGTTCATGTTTGCAAATCAATGGACTTCTGAACAGGAACTTTCAGATGAGTCTCTTCAGAATAAAATTATGAAAACAGATTATTAGCATCGTCTTTCTCTCTTCCCTTCCCTCCCCTCCCCTTCCCTTTCCTTTCCTTTCCTTCTTCTTTATTCTTGCTTCCCTCTTCCTCCCCTTCCTTCCTTTCTCCACCTTAGAAAATTAAATGCTCTTTTTGATTATCTTAGTGGTTAAGACTGAAGAGTTGATCCTGCGCTGTGCTGTGGAGTGGGCAGCTTCTCTCCATCTTCTCTCACCCTGACACACTGTCTTAGGATTCCAGTCTCAGAAGCCAGGTATTGGGTATGGTCTATATTCTGAAAAATAATTTTTATCATTGATGTGAGACTTTTAAATTTTTCTATTTTTAGTCATTTTTATAAAACAGAAAGAAAAAAAATCCACCTCAAATCATTTCAGAATCAAAAATAAATAAAAATAAATGCTTTAAAATCATGCATATTTTAGTGTTTCTATTTTATATATTTTGATAACAAAATTGTACTGGGAACACAACATTTTCTTGGTGCAAGGAGATATTCATAGGCACTTAATCATTTATTTAAATAATCCACAAACATGGAGGTTAAGCATAAAATAGTGACGTTGTTTATCTATTTGAAATGTTAACCATTTATTTTCCAAAAAGGCAATATATACCAAAGGAAAACTAAATTGGCATATTTTAACTCTACAAAAATGTATGAATATTTAAATTTACAGCAAAAGAACAATTATATCATCTAATAATGCTTACAGTATTTAAAATCTGTCATTATGCACAATCTACTTTTATAAATGTTAAAGAACCATGTGCCAAGCATATATCTAAAACATTTTTGAAATTACTCCTTTCTAGCTGTGGCTACACTGACCAAAACAACAACAACAACAACAACAAAACAAAACAAAACAAAAAAAGCTGAAATACAAAAAAAAAAAAACAAAAAAAGACATGTAATCATCAAGTTCTTTTTTCCCCCTTGTGCTATTTTTAGCAGAAATTTCAGCACAACTGGAACCAAGCAGCAGCTTACTTTCGTTTTCACACCAATGGAATGCATGATGAAAATCTCATTTTTAAAAAACATTATAGATATAGCCTTAATCATCTAATTTTCCATTCTCATTCTAACTCATTAAAAACAGAATATTGAGTGATTTGTTCTCCCTAGCTAAAAACAAAAACAAAATAACTTTATATAACATAACACAAGTATCGCAGAAGTGGTCTTTATCTTAAAGGATCCTTAAGAAAAGAGCTGCCTGAATTCACCAGTATTTCAGAGGGATTTTTCTTTTAAAACAAATACAGTGAAAATTGTCTTTAGAATTTATTGACCAATATAAAACAAACTGGGCTACACATATACACAAATTATTTAAAACACATTGCTGGTGCTCATTCAACACCATAAATTCATACAATAGCTGATATTTAGTAGCAGTTCGAACATGGTGTAGTCACAACAGATGTGTCCATGTACTATACATAAGGGGCTGATTTCACCTATTCCATATTTTGACATATTGGGGAAAATGGGCAGTGGCGGAATCCTGAAACACAAGCTGCCTTTAGAGCTAATTGAGTTTTTGCTGCCCAACTGAACTGGAAATTTATTCAAGATTTGCAGCAGATATCAGCCATGCAGGATGACAGCTGTAGATGGTGACACATCCATTAAAAATTTGAATTTCTAAAATTCTTCATATTTGTGAAATCAGTACACTTTATAACTTAAGAATGCATACATGTTTTGCCTCCTCTGAGACTAGATTTAGCATCTGTAAATGAGATGCAAGTAAAATGGTTGTGAGCAGATACGATCATCATTTCTTAAGTGGTGAAACCATGTGCGGTGGGAGACAGTATTTTGAGGTTTACCGAACTAATTCAGAATATGATCCTAACCTCCCACCAAATTTTTTAAAAAGGTAAAAACAGTTCTGTTTTAGTGTAGTTATTTTTCTCTCTCTGTACACTTTTTTCCTTTTTATTAGACTGTTTCTAAGCACCATGGCAAAATCAAATTTATGGATTGTGTTTACCAGAGTTTACAGAGCTCCACTGGGAAGCCTAGAAATCTCTGCTGATTTCCCTGCAGTCTTTGAAGCTCCATAACATAGAACCTAATCTTCACAGTAATAGGTGGTCTAATTCTCTGTGCAAGCTGTAGGCCAAACCTTACTTTTAACCTGAAGATAATTAGAAGGAAAATGAAAGTGAGTATGTTCCATTAGTTACTACTGAAAAGGCTTTGCTTCCCTGAAACCCAGTTTGCCAAATGATGCTTGGATGTTCCTGTAATCATGCTGTTTCTAGTTTATTTCTGCTGTAGGTCTTAGTGCTTGTATTATTTTAAAGAACTAATTTTATTTAAATGACTAGTAAGAATTTAAATATTTCTAAAGAATCAATATACTAATCATAATTTTTTTTTTTGAGACAGTCTTGAGGCTGAAGTGCAGTGGTGTGATCCTGGCTCACTGCAGCCTCTGCCTCCCAGGTTCAAGCAATTCTCTCACATCAGCCTCCCAAGTAGTTGGAATTACAGGTGCGTGCCACCACATCCAGCTAATTTTTGTATTTTTAGTAGAGACAGGGTTTCGTCATGTTGGCCAGGCTGGTCTCGCAGTTCTGAACTCAAGTGATTCGCCCACCTCAGCCTCCCAAAGTGCTGGGATTACAGGCGTGAGCCACCATGCCTGGCCCCATAACATGTTTAATGAAGATATTTTTCCATTATTGTTCCATTTCTATAATTTTTTGAGTGACAGTATTAGTTTATATTAACAATAAGGGGTCCAGGCAACACCACTTTAGATATATGATCCTTAGAAAAGTTATATTACATATCTGGGTTTCAGTCTTATTATCTATAAACAGAGAAACTAAGACAAGGTCATCTGTAAAGTCCTTTAAAAATCTCTGTGTTTATTCCATTGACTGCACTTAGAAGATAAATTTAGTAATAGTTCTTAAGAAATCATGAAAATACATAATTTTTAAGACAGTGATATCTCTCCTCTGAAAGTCAAAATCTTATACCTTCAAGTGGCCATTGGACACAACCAAAAAATAAAAACCATTTTTAGCTTAATGAAGCAACTTATGTAATATAGCAGCATTTTAATAAAATTTCATATTTCATTTCCATAAGGCAGGATATTTTATCCAGAAAATTAGAGTCCATAGTTTAATGTGAAGAATATTAGGAAGAAAATTAAAATTTGAAGACAAAGTTTTTGGAAATCCTGTCTAAATATATTAGCCTTTATTTTAAAATTTAAAATACAAAAAAAGTATGATACAGTTACACTTAGCAACTTTAACACACATTTTTCAGTTCATTAATTCAAGAAATATTTAGAGAATATATATGCCAGAAATACCAAATGAACAAAACTGACAAAGCCCCTGCCTTCATGGGACTTACCTTCTAGGGCATGTGATGGGCATGTTTGGGGCTGGGGAGGGGGAAGTATAGACAGAAATAAAGAAGCAAACTCATAGATTGTCAGGTACAGGGGATAGGGAAGGCAGATGGGAGAAGGGTTTGTCTTACTGATAAGATAATATTTGAACTGAGATCACTAAGGGGAGCTCTCTGGGGCAGAGGGAACAAAACACTAAAGCAGGAACTTTCTTGGGAGCCATAATAGGGTAAGTAAGAGGCAGAATAATGAGAGATAAGAGATGGTGTTAGAAAAAGGTAGAATTGCATGTGTGTGTGTGTGCATGTGTATGTATGTGTGGTGAGTGGTGTGGACGTGTAGAGGGGTAACACTCATAAAGGACCTTGAAGGCCACCGGAGGGAGAAGTCATTGGAAGATTGTGAGCAGGGAAGTGACACAATCAAATTCATGGTTAACAGAATCACTATGGCTGTTGTACTGAGAAAAGATTGTTCAAGACAAGGACTGGGAAATTAGGGAACTAAATAATAAGCATATTGCGATTAAAAAGGTTAGAGGTAGTGACACCTAGTGGATATGGTGGCAAGTCATTCTTTTCTAGTTATATTTCAAAGGTAGCATCAAGGGGATTTGCTGTTGGATTAGACGAGAGTTGAAACAGAAATAGAGGAGTCAAAAGCAACTTTCAGTTTTTGACCTGAGCATCTGGAAGGTTGAAGTTGCATTAACTGAGATGGAGAAGACCACAGAAGAGATTGGTTTGAAATATGTCAGTCTAGCTCCATAAATAAGGGATAAGACAAGTGCATTATGAATCCAATCATGGTTTTAACTTTTTGTACTGAAGACAATAAACATTTTTGTAAACAAATTAAATGTTAGTCATTGCTTTCTAGTGTTGGATGTTTTGTAATATTTTATGCCACTTTTTGTTAGATACTATAATGGCACGTGTTCAAGCCATCTGAAGATTGTTTAAAAATTCTTTTCTAACATGAAACTCATGTAGTTTTAGTTTTCTCACCATGACCACAATGAACTTTCACATATTTAAAATTCTGCTAAAACGTTTCAAGTTCAGCTTTGATGGGGTAGCTGTATTTATAAAAATTTGCCATTGACCATTTTCTACATAACATGCATTTTGACTAACAAAGCAATAAGTGGAACATATGGTATACATGAGTCCTTGAGAGTTGAAGCTTTTTCAACTTAAGTAATAATGCTGTGCAGGGTCTTTTTACCTTAGTAAGGAGAAGAGGAAATGAGGGGAGAAAAGGAGTGTAAAGATGAAAAATGGGAATTTTACATGAGGCCTCAATGGACTTGAGAGGCTGCTATTAATTTAAGGCAATGGTTCACTGCCTCTTGGGAGTCATAGCCTTCTTTCCAAGTTTGCTGTGAGTGACATACTCCCACCTCAGAAAAAAAAATGCCCTGATATTCAACATTTTGCTTACAATTTTAGGAAATTCACGGATTCACAGAGAGCTCATGGTGAGGGGTGTCTATATTTAAAGAGCAAACCTGAAATGCTCCAGGTTGTAGATTCTTCCCTACAGTTGTACCAATAAAAAGTCAAAAGAGGAAGGAATACCAGTGGCAAAAATCATTTAAGATTTTACTGACCATCAGAAAGTGTCCTCATTTTCATTATAAAGCAGTGTATGTGCATGTCAGAGACATAGTTTGTATGCAGTCAAAATGATTAATCCTTTCTATAAGAGCTTTTTAAGTAAAGATGAGGACCAAAGAAGTGGAATCTTCTGCTCCAGAAAACACTTCTTCCACTTTTCCTCTCAAATTTCTCTTAGCTGCTGAGTGCATTTATAATGGATAACATGCATATATAGGGCAACTCTTTGAGCATTTAAAATGATGTCAAATATAAAAACTTACTAGCAAAAATCTGATTTTTTTTCACTTTCATGGCCTCTGCTAATGTATTTTGAACATAAAGGGTTTTAAGATGAGAAAAGAAAATGTGAATGTAGCCTGATTATAACTATATTCCTTGGGCCATAATATATGGCAAACAATATATAGCAGTTTAATTACAACAAAAGTTTAATGAATGTGTATTGAGTTTATTCCCCTGGTGATAAAATTTTTAGATACTGGAGCACAGCACTGAAAGGTATTCTTTAACATAGAAAATGAAAATGACAGTGGTAACCTAACTAAAATCTTTAAGTGCAATAGAGTTAAAAATTAAGTCTAAAATTCTCCCTTTCACCTGCAATTCTGTACAGCATCAATGGCATGCCACTGTCTATAGAGTGAAGAGAAAAGGGATGGTAGAGTTTGTGGAGACCAAGATTTTGGTTAAGAATTGAGTATCCAACATAAACTCTAGGAGCAAGATTGTTTAGTTTCAGCCTGTGTTAGGAATGATTGCAACCCACTTTGAGTTCTCTCACAGTGATCGAAGTGCTGCGGATTAGACTCATCTTGTTCCCCTCAATGCTTCGCGGATTTCTTTTTTTATGTACTCTAAATTGAATTTAAAAAGTTTCCTTCTCTTTTTTGAATTCACATTGGTTTAAATGTGATGCTTCTGTAAAGGCTCCATGAATTCAATATCCAATGTAATGTTTTTCCTTGTCCAAAACTTGGAACATTTTGTAAGATGAATTCACCATTCAGAAGTAATTTAATATGTGGCCCTGTTGTAGACACAGAAATCAAACATGTTTCCATGAAGGATCCATAAAAAGAGTGAGTTTATAAAGCAACTGATAATATTTCATAATGAAGATTTTATAAGGCATTTACATTATCTCTTTCAATCACCATGACAACCAAAAATAAAATAACCTCCAATTAACCCTATGACATGAGTGCAATAAACATTTTTCTTAAAGCAAACACAATTTGTTTTACAAGTTGTTCTGTTGTTTAATAGTAGTTTGCTATTATTTATATTCTTATGTGCTTTGATCAGATACAAATTTTAGTAGGGAAATAAGCAAACATTTCTAGAAACGAATTAGAAACAATTGTGTTTTAGAATACTAAAAGGATTTTTAAAACTTTCAATTCAGCAAAGTTAATATTTTCCCCCAATTGAAATAATGGAAAAACAAAAGCGTAGACACTTTCATGGCTTGGAGGACATGATCTTCATGTGCCCAAGGTCATGTTCCTTAGCAGCCACTGTTGGGATCTGCTTCCACTACAGTCCTGCATTGTAGGCACCATTTTGTCTTCTTCAGAAGGTTCATCGAGACATTGGTTACTGTTAACATGTCGCAACGTGAGTCTCTGTAAAAGATAACCAATAATCAGTGCAGCTTATTTCGTCTTTAGCTTTGCTAGCACATCAGATAAAATCTGTTCTTTAAAAAATCCTTTATGATTTTTATAGTATAATACACTGTGATAGCTTTGTAAAAGGAACTGTGCACAGGTGTCCCTGGATTAATTATTATACATCTTTGACTGTTATGAAGTCATCATTGTCTAATATACCTTTATTTGCAGATGGCTAAAGAAACTGACTGACATTTATCAAGCATTGCCAAGAATTCAGGCTCCTTTGCAAAAAGCCCATTTGTGAGCTCCGAGTTCAGTTGAGGACTGCAAATATTAACAAGCTTTTGCAAAAGCTTAGTTTTCTTAGGCATGTGTTATTCAGTAACCATTTGGTAAACATGCAAATAGATGGCACAGCTGTGACCCAAATGAACAAAACTGCTAGAGATGTTCCCATTTCAAAATACTAAACAAGCTATAGTATCTGTGACTGTAAGACACTCATTGTAGAAAGTGATTATCAGAGCAAAAAATAATCTGTCTTACTTGATAAAATCCTTACAATAGTTTGGTCTGTATTTTTAAGAATCTTAAAAATATAACATAAAAACAGGGGCATGATGATCACATATTTTTAAACATTATATTTATATTTTAGTTTCTTCATAAATTCCAATAATTGTATGTTAACCAGTCATTATATATCTTCTCTTTGGCATTTTTACGTACATTGGAAATCACATTTTTGGACTTTTCAGATATACATTTTAAATCAACATGATTTATACATACTAATTATATATATTTCTGCTATTTCATGGGCAATACCTAGGATCATATTATATGAAAACCTCTCCAACCAGAAGCGAAGTATTTGAATGTATGAGAGATGATTTGCAAATATATCTTGAAAATAGCACTCTAGATACTTTTTTTTTTGCAAATTACCAAAATTAAAGGCAAAGAAATTTTTTTTTTTTTTTTTTTTTTTTTGGCTCATGATACTACATTGAAAATGGGATGAAAGTAAATGTAAGGGGTGGGCCATAAAAATGGTAGAGGAACAGCAGCCAGACGATTGTAGTTTGCTTAGATTAGGACTGAAAACATCGTGGACTGCACTGTTGTAAGAAATGATGGAATGGAGAATAGGTTTGTGGCGGAAGAGGCCTAAGAGGCAGCAAGCAGGAAATTAAAAGAGCAAGGCAATTAGATACAAAGGAGATTTCAAGATTGAGACCTTTGTTGTTGCTCTTTCAAAACATGGAATCAAGCTATTTACACTAAAAAACAAAGAAAGGAATAAATGGCCAAAGATAGGCAAGAAGATGGCTGATTTATGCTTATTATGCCAGAAATTCAACCAGTAGCCAGCTTGAAAAAATAAAGATGCATAACAAAAACAATATGTATTTTTTCTAGACAGTTCTAGTTAAAAATCAACAAAATTGTTTCATTTTTGTTACGTACCTGTGGTCTTTTATGTATATATTCTCTTTCAAAAATATCACTTACCATTGCATACTTCTATTAGATCCCTTTTTAAAAAAAGTATGATTTTTCATATATCAAATATGTCATTGCCCATTAAGCTACCCCGGAAAGCACTCCCAGTGTCTTATTGCAATTGATCACATATCATAGTAGTTGAATGCTTTGATCAATTATCAGTTACCTTAGTTCAAAATATAGCACAGACTTAGGGAGATTTTTCTTTAAGGAACATGTTGAATAGATGTTGTCAACTGCACAAATAATAATTTTAAAAACACTAGTTATTATTGTTCTTTCTAAACAATATATGATTTATTTGAAGGAATTCACTAATAGTCAAAACCCACTGCTGCAGAGACAAACAACTAAATACTTCTCCTTTATAATGTAGTGCAGTGGAAAACCAGACCTTTTAGACTCAGGTAAATTCCTGTCCTTTACTTACTGGCTGTGAACACTCAGGCATGTTTCAAATTATTCTGAGGAATCATGTTCTTTGTCAGAAAATACTTAGACTTAAACATGCTTACAAATACAGTTTTTCCCTTTTGTTTAAAAAATTTGACCTTCAGTCAACTATCTAACTGTAATCCCCTGGCAACCTTGAAAGGGTAAAAATGTTAACTATGTTTCTAGGCTACATTGTTTATGGTAAAAGTGAACTCTGATTGATAAACTGCATCTGCAACTGATAAATTGCATATATATACTAACAGAAAAGCAAACTTCGGGCTTTTCTAAATGCAGACTTGTAATTCTAAATGTTTTATTTGGTTCCTGGAAGCTAGGCCTATGGAGTTGTTACAAGGAAACATCATCTTCTGTGAGGATAAGGCTAATAAGCCAGGATGGTTTTGACATCTGCCTGATGTGGATCTCATCTCCTTGCAACAGACTGTTACCTGTAAAGAAGGCTGTAAGAACTGCTAAGGGAACTGCTCCAATTTCTCCTATGGAGAGAAGCACTCTGTGGTCTCTGCTCTAGCACTCTACAGTAGACTTGTGAGAATAAATATTTAGTTAAGCCTAAGCTTCCTTTTTTGGCACTGCACGTATCAGGATTGGTTGCTCTGAAAGCAAACTAAGATAATACACATAAATTGCTCTGTACATAAGTTCTCTTTGTGCAAAAGACCTAGACTTTTCCAGCTTTACCAACTCTTACATTTGGAATGTCTTTGGCTTGAATATAGTTCTAAGTAAAATAGTACCCCATATGTTGTCCCCTCATCCATAATTTCATTTCTAGCCTTGTTCCAAGACTTCTAAGCTCAATTGTTTCCTCCACTAACAATCTTTAAGTGGTTCATCTGAACCAGAAAAATGCCCCAATCTTCCTTGTGTTCTCATTGTAAGGTCTGGGACAAAGTAAAATCCTTTAATTATTGGATAATACACTCTTTAAAACTAAAAGCTAGGACATGTTCTTATTTGCACTCTTTACAAGAATTCCATATCAGTTTGTTGACTTGACCTGTGTAATGATTCATTTTATTGCTTGCTGAAAAGATAGTCACAAATCGTAAAAGTGAGAGATAAAAGATACAACTTAAAAAAATATTGTTTCACTTAGGCAACCACAAAGAAATGCTTAGAAATAATTTTCTTTATAAAGGTATTAAAAATCACATCTTAGTCTTTAATAATGTGTTTGC
Organism: Homo sapiens; assembly: GCF_000001405.40. Lineage (NCBI taxonomy): Eukaryota > Metazoa > Chordata > Mammalia > Primates > Hominidae > Homo > Homo sapiens. The sequence continues at coordinate 154,447,270 of NC_000002.12, read as the reverse complement.
TTAGTGTTTTAATTAAAATAATAAGATACTTTAGAAAGGATATGCCATATTTGCATTTAACCAAAGTATCTGAATAAAAAGAAACAAAAATAAATGATTCCAGTGTCTTAGAAACAATACTTTCTTTGGCCCTGTTAGTTTTTTAATCGATTTTTTTCAGATCTGATGACGCAGAACCTGTTGTCATATAGACATGGCTATAGTTTGCCTCAAAGAGAGTTAATATTTCATAATATCGTTCATCAAGTATATTTATGCATATATATGTTTAAAATAAAGAAAAAAAACAAAAAAACCCCTACTCATTAAGGATAGACTAAACACAACTTAATATATGCAGTCCCCAAATTAATGAGTAGCTAGGAAGTAAAAGACAGAGAGTTAACTCCATGGAGAAAAGGTCATACAAATTTTTCTTAACCACATTTTAAAGGAGTTTCCAGATTTCAATAACTGAACATAACAAAAATGCTAAAATAAATTTAATAAAATCTGCAACACAAACCTCCAAAAATCATTAGAGAATGTAATCAGTAGAATTCCCAAAAATATTTCTAAAAATTTCCATTCTTGTATAGTTTCTTAGTAGCCATTTTTGCAAAGTGCTATCATTACAGGTTTCCACAGTAGGATGCTGGGAGCCATCAGCTACTTTGTTCACTGAGAGACAAGACTGGGTGATTATATGAAGAAGAGTGTGGGTCTGTTTGACAAAGAAAATAACGAATAATGACAAAATCAAGTACAAAGACAGTAATAAATCAATCATCCTAGGCAACATGCAATTTCTACTGGATAAAGATGGAAGGCACATGTCACAATAATTGTATCCATGGAGCTGTGAGCCACATTTTTTTAGATGGCTTTAATATCAACCCTATAAGGAAGGAGTAAATGAAGATAAGACTGAGAATATGGAGAGGGGCTTACGATAAAATAATGAAATATTTTTGGCAAAAGGTTATTTTAGATATAAAAGATTATATTCTCAGCCTTCATCCTAGTAATACAATGCTTTTTAGTACCAGATGAGTTATTTGCGAGTGGATATTCAAAATAGTTGATTAGTCCAGCTATGGCCCTTGGCCTCCTCATTCTTTCACCCTAAAATTAAATAAATATCAGGGACAAATTCAGAGGATAATTTAGCTTTAAGGCTTTACTTTGAACAGTATGGTACTCAAATTGCTCCCACTTATGTTTTTACAAGGCTAACCTGGGTTGTGTTCCACATGTACATTGCCACCTTTGTTAGATGTCAATTAGAAAGGTAGATAATGAAGGGAGGAAAAAGAAAAAGATTAACTCTTAATCTAATTCTCCAAACAATTTTAATTAATTAATTTATCTGTCTGTTTCTTGCTCTCCATCTATTTCCTCCATAGGAACATAAGCTCCAGGAAAGCCACAGACTATGGCCACCTACATCTTGAAGCTCCGTGCCTGCCCTTGGGAGACACTAAGTAAGTCTGTTGATTCAAACACTTAGTGAAAGACCAGTGCAGACAATAAATCCTGTTAAAATTAAGCTACTTCTCTCAGGCAGCTTAATGAACACAAATTATTGGATTTATGTTTTCAAGGATTTATCTTCCACAGTAAAATAGTACATAATTTGTAAAGAAAGAAAAAATAACATTGTATTCATAATATTAACTATGTAGTTAATATTAAAACTGTAACTATAAATAATATTGTTAACTATATAGCTTGATTTTTTAAGAAGACTAGTTTATATTTTTGTTTTTAAACCAAACATGAATTTTCCACCCATACTGTTCAAAACTGCTAGGCTAGATCATCCTCTACTCTCAGTGATATTTCTCCTTGAAGTGAACTTTTCTTGGAAAATGCCACTTTAACAACAAAGATATTAGTGTAAATGATGTTAATTATGTTTGTAATATAGAAGAAAAATTATTTTTATGACATAAAACAAAAACAAAATGATTTTGCTTATCCTCTGGAAACATGACCCCAGGGCATAAATACAATATAGAATTTTCATTAAAAAAATGACTGTAACATATGTCCCAAAGGTGTTTATCAAATGAATGGCCATGAAAAAATAGTCAAAGAAGTTTCATTCCAGGTACTTCTAAAAAGCCATAGCCCAGAAGAAAAATTACAAATCTTGTCCTTATTGAGACAAAAATTATTTTTCATTTAAAAACACACAAAATTATTTAGTGTCTTCATTTGCTTGAAAACAAAGCATAGTTCATTTTTTTCTCAGTATACTGTTTGAAAAGATAACAATTATTAATATTGTATGTATGTTCTAATAATTTTATGTATTTATACAATTGAGGTCATATAATAAAATATTCTTTTATTCATGTTGTGGGCATTTTTTCTATCACTAAAATAATCTACAAACATACTATTAAGAAATAAACTATTTCTCTAAAATGAATTTCCAAAATCCATTTAACTTTTTTATTTGCAGGGAATATCTTTCCAATTTGGAGCTATTGCAAATAACAAAAATATATTGTATTTCAGAGATATTTGATCAATATATTGATATTCAGAGATATTTGTCATTATTAATAACACATGGCAAATATCTCTGAACATCAATGTCTACATCTGTCATTATTTCTTTGGAAATGATTCTTAGAAGTGAAATTGCAAGGTCAAATACATGAACACTTTAACACATATCAGCAAAGTCCTTTAAAATATATCTATAACAGTAATTTTGTAATAATAGCAGCAGCAGCTAACACTTCTTGTGCTTGCTATCTGCCAGGATACTTTATGGGTGTCAGTCTCACTGCATCTTCACCAATATTACATGTTGCTGCTAAAAACATTTCTTGCTGTATTGAAAGGATAAGCAAGAAATGAATACAGTAACACACATAAAATGATTTTTATTTATGTTTTTTAAAAACTTTTTTTCATTTTCTTTGGCTACATTTCTACTATGCTGTTTATTCAAGTCCTTGCACATTTCTATATGTGGTATACTATTTCCCTTTCAAAAAGTATAGTAATTAAGGGTTGATATGCTCTTTATTAGGTATATCAACCCTTAGTTATATCTGTTTTTGTTGCAAATGCCTAATTAGTCTACTTTTGTTTTGTTTTAGAGAAAGGGTCTCACTATATTGCCCAGGCTGGCCTTGAACTCTTGGGCTCTAGCAATCCTCCCATCTCAGCTTGCCAAGTAGCTGGTACTACAGGCCCATGCCACTACATCCAGCTATATTAACTCAACTTTGAAGACAATGTGACATCCAGGCTGACATGCAACTTACTGCCAAATATATTTTCCTATAGCTTTATTTAAAATATTGACTAAAAATAGGATCATCTAAACCCTAAGATAGTATTGAGTTTTGTTTATAATATAGTATTACTTTATTGTTCTCCTCTAGAATGCAAAGCCTTGGTATTGCCTGCAATGTAGAATATTTTAATCGTAACATGTAAAAATACATAAGAAAAATATTAACGATTCATGCCTTTAAATATATTTGCAAGTTTGACTAACATAAAATGTAGCGTGGAGTATCTCTAACTTTACCCTTCCAAATATATAATTCCTACTTAAAGCCAACTGGAATCAGGCTAAACAATTTTGGTGACAAAATAAGAGCCATTAATATTGTAAAATTAGGCCATACCTTGGTATTAAAACATACTAATTTAAAAAAATAGATATTTTAATGAACTGACTGCATAGTTGATTTAAGAGCCAATCGCACAGGTCTCAGTTTAAAAGTTGGTATAGTAAAAGATTAAAATAAAACCCAATCAATTATGTTATTACATATAATCATATACAAAATAAGTATAAATTTGTACTATATTTAATTTAATAGCAAAGATAATAGGAGTTCTTCTGTTAATCAAGCATAGAATAACAATTAAAAATTAATATAACAAAGTTGTTACTCAAAACATTAATTATGATCTCCAGACAAGGTAATCTACGCATTCAGTCGAACAGAAATATTATAAAATATGAAGTGTAATCATTTAACATATAGGAACTACAAATATGACGCTAATCTATTGAAATTCCTACTCACTACTTCTAATAAGAAATCACAGCTATGGGTCAATAGGAATATGGAAAGGTAATAACTGTGTAATGCACACAACCTTCAAAAGGTAAATTGAGCCATTGTTTTTCTTAGGAATGCTACACAGGGGAATGGCTGGGATGCACTTAAAGATCACTTACCTTGAAATTATAATCCCATTTACCTGCTCTCTAATAAAGGTAAATAAAAGATGGTAGTGTAAGTAAAGTCTAAATATTAATCTAACACATTTCACCTATGGAAAAAAATTCCTTATATTGTGACTCTGGAAATTATTTGATACAGATGTATATAGAATTCACAACAAGTATTTTCTAAGTCAACTTGCTCAGTCACATGAAAAATAAGTTATTTTTAGTATCATATTTTTCTCCCTTTTTTTCTTTGTTGCATAGTGTTTGTTGAACATAAGTGTTCTGATCTAAAATTAGATTCTCACACTGTATGTAGCTGCCTAGTTATTCAAAAAGAAATGTAATTATGTGCACATATCATAGGGAAATATTCTAAATTGATTGGAACATAATTATAATGTTCAAACAGAATATAAGAACACCTGAAAACAATAGAATTAATGGATGACAGAACTTTATAAAAATAATTTTTAAAATGTCTCAGTGAGATGAATTTTTTTCTCTTCATTTAATCCTGGCAATAGGCATTTCATGGCACAGAAGGGTTTGTGCAATTTATTTAAGCTTCCAGACCACGTAGGTACCCCACAATTTTGCTAATGATGCCCAGGATGCCCTCAATTCAAACAGGTTAGGCCACATATAAGATGACAGTGAATTGAATTCGTGGTTATTTAAGGACTATTTAGTTAGGGGTGTGAGAAACTACACTTGAAATCAAAGTTGACCAAAGAAGTGCATTTATTACTAACATGTGCTTAGTTTCATTCAATTACAAGGATAAGCAATTAGATATTATATTATGAATATGTATAGCTGAAGTTTGTAAGCAATTAGAGCAAAATGACAAAGTAGTTTTATGACTGCTTATTTAGCTAAATGGACCATATTTATTGTAGAACACCTTTCCCCCTATTAAAAAAATGAGAAATTTTAGTTCAAAATTTGGCATAACAAATAACTGATAGCATTTAGCTATTCCATTTGAAATACTGTATATTTAGCTTATTATATCTTAACCACTGAAAGAGAATCTAATTATTTCCAGTTTTTCGACAACATCAAGAGGCAATGTAGTGTAGTAGAAAAATTGCTGGATTTACTGCCAGAATCTGGCTGTGCAAACTTAAACGAGGCATTTACCCTATGCTTCATTTTACTAATGTGAAAAATAGAATAACTGTCTTATAAGACTATTGTAAGAATTGCATGAGAAAACAGATAAATACGTGTTGAACTGTATTCCTTCTCTTTTCCCCCACTCACCTAAGAAGTAAACAAAACCAAAGTAGCTGGATAGATTCCATCTTTTGAGGCTTCATGACACTGTTTCCATTTTTCTCTGGATATTCCAACAATCTTGCTTCTATTTATGACTTTCTTTTCTAAGATTGAAAGGACTATGGGAGATAAGGTGATGGAATATTTGTGCTGTTCACATGGTGAGATTCACAATTGTACTGATAGCTAGCTTGCTTGGAATACTTTATTAGGACCTGAATCCTAGCTCTGCTGCTAGCGGTGTAATCTTTATGCTTTAGTTCCTCCTGATAAAGGCTTAAAGGAGAGAACTTTAAGGTACATTTCAGTTCTGTAATTCTATGAACTCCAACAATTTTTATTCTGCCTTGAACCTGCACCACCTCAGAGATTTTTCAAAGAATAATTTTGTCCTTGCCAGCAAAAGATAAAGAATTGAGTTAAAGTAGTAAGCAGTGCGCATTTACTTTCCACAGGTTGGAATATGAGAAGAATAGAACCACTGAGCAATTATTCCTCTTTCTCATCTCAACACCTCTTATCCTTTTGCTCCCTTTCCCTCTCTCTGCTCCCCTCTGGAGGCCTTGCCATTTTCCAAATTGTATTCATGCCTTTTCCTAAATTTGTAACATTCTTTAACCAGTGTATAAAAAGACTATGGAAGATACATAGATATTTGACCCTGTCCTTTTCAAATGTAAATATGTATATGAATGATCGGAGATTTTGTTAAAATACAAACTTGGATTCAGTGTGTTTAGCATGGGTTCGGATCCTGCATTTCTAACAAGTTCCCAGGTGATGCTACTACTCCTGGAATCACCCTGTGGGTAGCAAGGGGTGGAACCATTCTGTGAACTAAAGAAACCCTAAATGTAAAACTGAAAAGCATAGTAATAAATGTTATATTTCAATTTTGTTTAAAAAAAATCCTTTTTAACGACCTTCTCAAAAATATAATCGCACATCAAAGCTGAAATTTCCAGAAAGGCAATGTATTATTCCTACAATTGCTCTATTCTCATGTCATTTATTAGATTATGACCTATGCATTTTTTAATTTGGCAAAGTGCTGTCATTAGACAATGTAAACATCACTAGTTAATTTTGAAAACATAAACATATAAGAGAATTTAATTAAGCTATATAATTCAGATGATCAAATTATTTAAAATAAAAATTTCTCAATATTTATGACATTTTATAAGCTTTTTGTGCGTGTGTTCCAAAGTCAAAGTAAACATGACACAAAATATTATAGTGCTCTGAAATACTGCAACAGATAACTACTAGTCATCCAAAAGAGTAAATTTATAGAAATCATTTATTTATCTACCTATGTGAAGCTACCTATTTTTTTTTTCACTTTTTACTTAAAATTCCTTAGTATTCAATAGCATTGCTACTAGCTGACAGAAAATGTAAACCAAAATATACACCAAATTGCTAACAGTAGTTATTTGAGAAATGAAAGAATTTGAGTTATGACATTGTTCACTCAAGAGTTATGGAAAAGTTTAAAGATTAAAAGTGGTATTCTAAAATTCCACACTGCTTGCTTTTATAAAAATGTACACGATCATTCCCCTTTCTTAATAAATATATTCTAGATTTTCTTATTTTTAGCATAAGCTCAGTAGAGCCCCAGGTTCCTGGTAGAAACGGAACAGTAACAACAAGAAGAACAAGTTTTATTTAAAAACAAATATCACTTACAGGATTTCTACTATATCTGTACATTTTACTGCACTTTTCCTCATAGAAGAGAGTACTGATGAAGGATTTACCTACATGTATTTTGCAAAGGCACTGTTTTCTGTAGGCTTAATATCAAGGATGGTACCAATAAATAATAGTTGAAGAGAAAAAAATTGGTGGTCAGACAAGGTGAGTAAGATATAGCGAAGGCAGTAGCATCTTAATCACACTGGTACAACATAGGAAGAATTCTCAGTGTTTGCCCTCAATTATGGCCCAGAAGATGATTTTGTGTCCTAAGATCCTGGTAACACTGTATGAGTGTTAGGCCCAAAATTAACCCTGCACAACCAGTTTCAAATCCTATGAGAATTCAGTAAATTTTTCTAGTATTCAACTTAAGAAACTACAGACTCATGCAAATATTAAAACGACATTCAAAAAGGTTTTTAAAAGGTCTTGCTAAAATATCAACAATACCAAAAACTCTGTAGATTGGTTTTTAAAATGTTATTCTTGTAGAAAATTTTAGGCTTGCATGGAATACTGCATCTGTGAGACTCATTTACCTCTATAGTAGTATTTATCTTTTAAGCAGAACGAAGTTTAGTTTTCCTTTTAAATAAATCACCTACCACTTAATAATGTGGGAAATGTAACACAGACAACCAATTCATTTTGTTAATCAAAAAAGAAAACTGAAAGAAATGAAGCTGTTTTCAAGAGTAAGCTTCGTTATGCAAAGGAAAATATTTCTTTTTTATTAGCTCCATCTGATGGCTGATCTGGTTTTTACACACTGCCTGGAGATAAATTTCCAACAGTAATTTTGTGGTTTTCTCTCCCTCTTCTCTGTCAGAAAGGTGTGCTATATTGAGAAGAGGCTACTCAACTTTTTATGTGACTAATTAGTTTACTGAATTCTGCAAAATATTTACAACTGTAAACAGTAAAGAAATCTTGTTAATCTTGTCAGATATTGTTCCTTCCAGTTGAGGAACATAAATGTCAGTGATTAGTATTGTAAAATTTAAAATTTGAAAATATGGACATATTGTCAATATTATCCTGTATGCACATCTTCATACAAACCTCTCAGATAGGCTTAGCTTACCTCTTGCCTAATTTATGTTTGGCATGTACATGGAGATAACAAGTTGTCATACACAAAACTGATTTTATTGTCCTCATTCATATTTTATATTAATGGACCAATTTGGTGAAACCTGTTTATATGATATGCCATCCTAATATTACCGGATATGAGCCTGCATGCTTGAAAATCTAATTCTGCCAATGTAGATAAAAACCAGCTTAAGATTTAAATGTTGAATGTTGAAATATATAACTGAGCTTAAGCATCAAATAATAAGTAAATTAAGAAAATACTATACCTCAGCATCATATTCCCATAACTGATTTCCTCTCATATGGTGGCATTTTAACATGATTACAGGTCCATTGAGTCTAGAAACATCCAAGCACAAGTCATCGGTTCGGATTTCTTTGTCAGCAGTGTAAGAAAATACCTGAAAATATAAATTCAGCTAATAAAAAAAATGTATGTTTTAAAATGTCACAATAGAGCAGATCTATCCAGGGAAGCTTTCGTATCAGATAAACTTGTGTTTTCAAACGATTGCTGGTATGTTATCTTGAGAAAGCTAATTCATCTCTTTGAGTCTTTTTCCTCAACTGCAAAATAGGGACAAAGTCATCTGTTTTATGATGTTTTGGTGAGGCCTCAGTTTAACAAAACAAACCTTTAAATACCCATTATTTGCTGGCACTGTAGTTCTTTCATGATACTTGCATTATAAAGCTCTCAATAGGTTAAGTAAAATAAAGTTTACAAACTGCATGGAGCTCAGTGAAGGCAGTCCCTGTTCCTACTATTGTATGACCAGTTCTCCAATTCTACAATGTCATTTTTTCATATAGAAGTTTAAATCTTTCTTCTGATAACATAAGTACATCGTGTAAGTTTTATTAAATACTGTCAGTGAGCTTCTGAAGGTTGTAGAAGTATCTTCTCTAGAGATCTTATTAAAGGTAGGCTCTACACTTATCTCTCTAATATGGTTTGCCTAAGCTTAACTACATCAATTCTTCTGAAAATATCCAAGAAATGTCACGGTGGATTATGGACTCTTTGTTAGATAATTCAATTGAACTATAATAATCTTTATTATTTTGTTCCTGGTGTGAATAATTTATTTACAACATTGATTATTAAGGTTTCATGAGGGTTTTTTTTTTTTTTTTTTTAGATGGAGTCTTGCTCTGTCGTCAGGCTGGAGTGCACTGGCGTAATCTGGGCTTACTGCAACCTCCGCCTCCCGGATTCAAGCGATTCTCCTGCCTCAGCCTCCCGAGTGGCTGGGACTACAGGCATGCGCCACCATGCCGGCCTAATGTTTTGTATTTTAGTAGAGACGGGGTTTCACTATGTTGGCCAGGATGGTCTCAATCTCCCGACCTCATGATCCACCTGCCTCGGCCTCCCAAAGTGCTGGGATTACAGGTGTGAGCCGCCATGCCCAGCCTCATGAGGGTTATTAAGCACATAATTATAGAATGTGTTTTCTTCTTTTAACTACGATAAGCATTGTTCAGTATTCTGTGGGTTTTTCTTTCTCCTTGCAATGTCAACAGAATACATAATGAGAAAGGTCATGTCAGGGTCTTTTTGTTTCTCAAAGATATCTGATGAAATCTGAGGAAGTCAGCTTTACAAATAACATAAACTCTGGAGCTCCGTAAGCTGAACGAGTTAGTCTTGGAAGAGTTGCCTCTGCAGCATTGCTACTCAGAACTTCTATGAAAACCACAAGAAGTGGTGAGAGGAAGCGGCAAAATCAATGACAGAACACAAATACCCTCTTCTGCCAACCGCTTAAAAGGAAATTATGGGGGGCTGGGTCGGTGGTTCGGTGGCTCACGCCTGTAATCCCAACACTTTGGGAGGCTAAGGCGAGAGGATTGCTTGAGCCCAGGAGTTTGAGACCAGCCAGGGAAACATACAGAGATGTCAGCTCTACAAACGATAATAAAAAGAAAATTATCCAAGCATGGTGGTACACGCCTGTTGTCCCCACTACTTGGGAGGCTGAGTGGGAGAGGCTGAGGTTGGCAGATTGCTTGAGCCATGATCACACCACTGCACTCAGTCTGGGTGACAGAGCAAGACCCAGTCTCAAAACAACAACAACAACAACAACAAAACCCAGAAAATTCTTCACAAAGGTTATACATTTTCTCAATAATATACAAATTTGAGAAATGTGAAGTACATTTAATTGAATTATGTAAAATATAACACAGACTTCATATATTCAATTCACAAATAAATTTTCTAGGTTCTTTACTTTTTCATGTTCATATGTTTTTTATGAAGAACATATGGTCACCTAAGAAGAATAAAATAAAAACCCATCAAACAGAAATATTCATATCCTCCCCAAACCGTATTATCTTAAACACAATTACAAACTTATTTAATTACACAAGTGAGAATCTTAAGCTGAGAGAAGAAAATTTCTAGAGAAATTTCTTTTGTTCATTATAGGATTATTTCAATACTGAAGGATAGTCTTCGACATTAGAATTGCTTCCTTTTAAAGTGTACAAATGCCAGTGTAAAAGGAAACATCATAACATCCATTTCAGCCTTAATTTTCTAATGGCTCAGGCCGTTTTTATACAGTGTATTCTTCTCCAGTGTCTTAAGATAGTTTGGAAACAGTACCTGTTGAACCTTTCAGAGAGCAGTCTACCATATATCCCTTGATCCTCAATTTCTAATTTAGATTCATTTGTGGTTGTTACAGTTATAAGTAACGTACATTTAAGAAAGATATATCTGTAGAACAGTTTCTGCACTTATATGTGTATATAAATTATATGTCTGCTAAATTTTTTTTGGCCTTTGTACTTGAAAAAAAATTAACAGATGTTAAAATATTTGGCTCACAAGCAATGTTAAAAACAATCTGTAGATAATGCTTCCTTATTTTTCTTGGATTAATGTAAAATCAGGATTAATTTGCTTTGTGTACCTGGGAAATAATCTCGTTTGTATGCTTGTTTCTAGGATGTCTTTTACTCTTCATAATAATAAAAAAGTCAGTGCATGTCAGTATATACATATCCTTCTTGATTTTATCTGGAAATTATTAGGTTTGATCTCAATTATTTATCATTTATATCCATTAGCTTTTTAACCCATAATTGTCATTATTAAAATTTTTTTCATGTTTACTACTGTGAAAGGTTCATGGAATTCACTTTGGGTATACTGAAAACATTATATGTGAAATACTTTGCAGAGATTCTAGCACACAGACAAAATTCAGTAGCTGATATTTAGAGTTATTATTCCCAGTCTTGGAGTTAATCCCAAATTGAGGATTTCTTCCCAATACTGCCAAGAAATTTTAGTATAAGGGTCCAGCAATGTTTGCTCTTGCCTGTCTGTGCTGACCCTTGGCCACTACACAAGTCCCGAGAGAGAGTTTATAATACCTGATGACAGATGTTTCTGATAATTTCAGCATTGTATTATGACCCTCTAGATTAACTACTTATGAGTTCCTTTATGACTTTGGGGACAATCTCCAAATCTCATGCTGTATTTCCTAGGAAGCAGCTATTCCCTATAGCTGTTGCTTGTTTTTCCATCTCACTACTCCACAGACACTCTCAGTTAGTATGTGTAAGGCCCAGCCTGTCCTTGCTGTGGTTGAAACCTTTATGCCTGACTATGTGAGTTAAAATATTTCTAACCTGCACACCAATGAAGCACTTTACCTTAAACTATCACATATACTGATAACTACACGATACAAGATTGATTCATTCATTAATAAAATCTCATTGTACATTCTCTTAAAATAATGGAAACTATTCTTCTTCCTTTTCTAATTATCTCTCAAATTGCTTTATCATCGGTTACCAATAGTTAGTAAAGCAGAACTGTGTTACATGAACCATAGATTTAGCATATGTTTCCATTTGTTCCAGTGGCAGCCTGACTTTAATGACAATTAATTGGTTCAAAGTCTAATCACTTTGATTAAGCTGACTAGAAGCAGGGAAAAACAATCAATTTCTGTGCCTTTCCTTCCATTATAAAAGAGGAAACAGGGAGAAAGTTAACATTAATTGAACACTACCTTTTTTAAAAAATGTGTTCTATGCTTCGTATATATTACATTAAATAAATTTGCTCTATTCTTCTATTGTGCAATTACATTTATATTTCTATGAATGTATACCAACTTACAGTACTGCAAAATGTAACATGTAGAGCTCTTTGTATGAATCCTATGGATTTAGTAATTTATAGTGTTTTTAAAATTCTGTTTCACACTTAATGTTCATGTTGTCTCAACTGTAAAATTATGAGCTATCTAGTATCACATATATTCTCATGTAGTCCTTCAGTCAAGCTAGGTCTACAAACAACCACTAAAATGGCCATTTTTGAGTCAACTCTTTTAATCTCAGCTATCTTATAAGACGGTGATAATGATACAGGTGATGATGTCTATGCTCCATTTTATGGACCTTGTTGATTATTATGCCTTAATCCCAGCAGTTTGGGAGGCCCAGGCGCATGGATCACGAGGTCAGGAGATTGAGACCATCCTGGCTAACACGGTGAAACCCCGTCTCTACTAAAAATACAAAAAATTAGCAGGGTGTGGTGGTGGGCGCCTGTAGTTCCAGCTACTCTGGAGGCTGAGGCAGGAGAATGGCGTGAGCCCGGGAGGCGGAATTTGCAGTGAGCGGAGATCACACCACTGCACTCCAGCCTGGGCTACAGAGCGAGACTCCTCTAAAAAAAACAAACAAACCAACAAACTAATCACTGTAATAACTCAGTTTTTATTGTTTACTGTTGTATTAGTTCACTAGGGCTGTCATAACAAAGTACTATGGACTGGGTGGCCTAAGCAACAGAAATTTATTTCCTGACAGGTTTGGAGGCTGGAAGTCCAAGATCAAGATCTTAGTAGAGTTGGTTTCTGCTGAGGCCACTCTCTTTGGCTTGTAAGAGGGATCTTCTCCATGTGTCTTCACACGGTCTTCCTTCTCTGTTTGCATGTGTCCTAATCTCCTCTTTTTATAAAAACACCAGTTACATTAGATTAGGGCACCCTAATGATGCCAAAATTCTTTAAAGACTCATCTCTAATATGGTTACATTCTAAGGAACTGGGGGTTAAGACTTCAACATATGAATTTCTAGAAGAGCACAATTCAGGCCACAACACCACTAACCCTTTACAATGTATTGGAGTAGATAACATATCTTTCCTTATTCCTAAATGAAAAACATGGTGTACATGAATTTTTTTTTTTTTTTGGCTAACCTGTTTAGATCACCTTGGGATTCAATTCAGAAATTAGAATATACTGTTTAGTAGTACTAATCAAAACTCTAAATGTAATGTAATATCAAATAATTCCCCCTTCTTCACATTGGGCCTAATTTATGTTGGCAGCCTGCAGAGGCAAAGGCTTTTTCTGTTTTACGACTTAAGCTTTTTTTTTATTCCTCACTGTTCCTACCCACTCCTAAATTCACCCAGTCTGCTAATCAATTTATTTTTTATTTTTTATTTTTTTATTCTTCCAGAGTGGCAAAGCTGTAAGAGAGGTCTTACTTGAACTGGTTTGTATAACTCCTTCCTGTTCTCTGGCCTGCCAGAGATTTAAAGCTCCCTGTCCTGAGACCATTTGGATTTTCTTAGAGATTCCCATCTCTGAGCACCTCTTAACTGAAGTGCAAAGAGAGAGGACAATGCATATTTTATAAGTGAGCCACTTTTTGTGAAAACTCTGGGAGGCAGGCTAACCTTAGGCAGTGCAGTCAGCTCCCTGTATTCAGTTGTCACAAGCCAGCCTTATCATGTGTGAGTCAGGCCACAGCCTGCCATATTCTCAAGTACCAGAAGCATATACCAAGCTCTCCAACTGGCATCCTGCATAATTTGCAGGTCCCAGTGCAAAATGAAAATGCAGAACTTATTTTTATAAAATTACCAAGAATTCCAAGATTGTAGGGATCTGTGTGATTGCATGGGTTGCAAGCTCAAGAACTTCCTGGCCTTGAATCCTCCTCTTACTGGAAGCTAGAATCCCAGCCCATCTCCTCTAGAGGGAGGGCAACTAATCTCTCCAGGCAAAATCTTGTAATCTTCTTCATATTCTGATACTTTCCATTATGGGTTGAACTGTGGCTCCCCAGATGATATATTGAAGTACTAACCACCAGTACCAAAAAATGTGCACACTTATGGAGATAGTCCTCATGATGAAGTCATACTGGAGTAAGATGGGCCCTTAATCTAAAAGGACTGGCGTCCTTATAAGAGAATAGAGACAGAGAAAAGACAGCCATGTGATGATGGAAGTAGAGACTGGAATGATGCATCTACAAGCCATGGGACACCAAGGATTGTTGGCAAACACCGGAAGCTAGAAGAGGAAAAAGATGATTCTCCCTTAGGTTTCAGAGGGAGTATGGCACTTCTGACACCTTGATTTCAGACTTCTAGCCTCCAGAACTATAAGACAATAAATTTCTATTAAGCAATTTACTAGGTTTCTATTAAGCAACCTAGTTTGCAGTAATTTGATACAACAGCTCCAGCAAACCAACATACCTCCTTTTCCTCCTCATGCTGGTTGAAGTGTCTAAAGTCACGAAATCAGATTTCCAAAGTGTCTTTGCAAATTTTGCACAGGAAAATCTGATTTTAGATTGTCATTGCAAATTTTGCATAGGGAAATCTGATTTTACATTTCACATTTATTGTATCTTGGTATCTGGGCTGAAATTTTAACATCCAGTTATACTTTCCAATAGTATAAAATCAACCATTTTCAAAATACTTTTATATTATAGCTGTATCTTCATAAAGGTGTTTTATAATGTGACTAGGTGATTTCCTGATTTTATGTATACTTTATTGAAGTCGTAATGATTTCTGCTTCTGAATTTATATTGTAATCAAATGAGTACTATCTATAATGGATGATACTACATATAAAGCCAATTCAAATCTCAATTCCTTTTAATCTCTGTATTTTTCTTTTCATAGATGATGTTTTAGTCCGTTCTCACACTGCTATAAGGACATACCTAAGACTGGGTAATTTATAAAGGAAAGAGGTTTAATGGACTCACAGTTCCACATAGCTGGGGAGGCTCACAATTGTGGTGGAAGGTGAAGGAGGAGCAAAGGCACATCCCACATGGTGGCAGGCAAGAGAGCGTGTGCAGGGAAACTGCCCTTTATAAAACCATCAGCTCTCGTGAGACTTATTCACTATCATGAGAACAACATGGGAAAAACCTGCCCCCATGATTCAATTATCTCCCACCAGGTCCCTCTCATGACACGTGGGGATTATGGGAGCTACAATTCAAGATGAGATTTTGGTGGAGACACAGCCAAATCATATCAGATGGTAAGCATTCTTTCTTTTTCACGTACATGTATGGTTTGTTCTGGATTTTTCTTTTTAGGGAGAATGTCCAAAGACATTTTACAATTCTTCAAATACCTAAAACATCTAAATAATTTCAAGGACTTCTGTGAGAAGGATCTAAAATATTCTGTTAAATTAATTTTATATAATGAAAGACTAGGTGTCCACATTTTTTTTCCCAGTTGTATTATGTTTAAAATCCTAATATATGTATAGTTACTTCTTTTAAAATACTCTTTTTTCATGACCCTTTAGAAAAACTACAAACAAACGTTTTCTCAAATCTCTAGCATGAGCCTGTGCTAATGAAACCTTGTTCCAGCAGTACACGTTACAAAGTAAGAAAGCAAAGGCATTGCTGTATTATTGGGACCTGAATCTTGTCTCTTTCTGCAAAGATCTCAGGAATTAAATGCCCTTTACTTGCTTTATCTTGCCACAGGGTTTCTTTCTTTCCTTTTTTTAATCCATAGATGAAGAGGGGTGTGAGTGTGTATGTATGTACATGCATATACACAGGCAAACTTCAGAGATACTGTGGGTTCAGTTTCAGATCACTATAATAAAACAAGTATCGCATTTAAAGCAAGGCACATGAATTTTTTTGTTCCCCTGTGCATAGGAGTTATGTTTACACCATACTGTAGCCATATTAAGCGTGCAGTAGCATTGTGTCTCAAAAAACAATGTATATTCCTTAATTAAAAATATTTTATCGTTAAAAATGCTAACAATTATCCTAGCCTTCGGTGAGTGGTAATATTTCTGCTGATGGAGGGTCTTGCCTCAATGCTGATGGCTGCAGACTGACCAGAGTGGTGACTGATGAAAGTTAGGTGGATGTAGTAATTTTAAAAAATAAGACAACAATGAAGTTTATCACATCAATCAACTTTTCCTTTCACTAAAGATTTTTCTGTAGCATGTGATGTTTGATAGCATTTTACTCATGGTAGAACTTCTTTCAAAATTTGAATTAATCCTCTCAAAACCTGACACTGCTTTATCGACTTGAGTTTATGTAATATTCTAAATACTTTGTTGTCATTTCAACAGTGTTCACAGCATCTTCAATAGGAGTAGACACCATCTCAAGAAACCACTTTTCTTGATCATTGATAAGAAGCAATGCTCATTCATTAAAGTTTTAGCTTGAGAGTGCAGAAATTCAATGACGTCTTCGGGCTCCACTCCTAATTCTAGTTCTCCTGCTATTTCCACCTTATCTGAAATTATTTCCTCCACTGATGTCTTGAACCCCTCAAAGTCATCTAAGAGGGTTGGGATTAACTTTTCCCAAACTCCTGATATTGTTGATATTTTGACCTCCTCCCATGAATCACAAATGTTATTTACGGTATCTAGAATTGTGAATACTTTCCATAAAGTTTTCAATTTACTTTGCCCAGATCTATTACAGGAATCACTATGGCAGTGAGAACTTTAGAAGACGTATTTCTTAAATAGTAAGACTTGAAAATTGAACTTGCTCCTTGATCTATGGTCTGCAGAATGAATATTGTGTTAGCAGACATGAAAACATTAATCTCCTTGTACATCTCCAACAGAGCTCTTGGGTGACTGAGTAAATTATCAATGAGGAGTAATATTTTAAAAGGAATCTTTTTTTCCTCAGAAATAGGTCACAACAGTGGGCTTAAAATATTTAGTACACCATGTTGCAAACAGATGTGCTATAATCCAGGCCTTGTTGTTCCATTTACAGAGCACAGGCAGAGTAGATTCAGCATAATTGTTAAGGGCCCTAGGATTTGGGGAATGGTAAATAAATGAACATTGCTTTTGACTTAAAGTCACTCGCTATATTTTTCCTAACAAGAGAATCAGCCTGTCTTTTGAAGCTTTGAAGCTAGGCAATGACTTCGCTTTTCTAGCTATGGAAGTCCCAGATGGCATCTTCTTCCAATTGGGTGCTGTTTTATCTACATTGAAAATCTGTTGTTTACTGTATTCACATTTATCAATGATCTTAGCTGGATCTTCTGGATAACTTGCTGCAGCTTCTCCCTCAGCACTTGCTACTTCACCTTGCCCTTTTATGTTATCTTTCTTTCCTTAAAACTCATAAATCAACTTCTGCTAGCTTCAAATTTTCTTCTGCAGCTTTCTCACCCATCATAGAATTAGAGTTAGGGCCCTGCTGTGGAAGAAGTTTTGGTGTAAAGGCATTTCATAGCTTGTTTGATCTTCTATTCAAACCACTAAAACTGTCTCTATATACGGAATAAGGCTGTTTGCTCTCTTTTCATTTATGTGTTTACTAGAGTAACACTTTCAATTTCCTTCAAGAATTTTTCCTTTCCCTTCACTATTTTTCCAGCTGTTTGGTGCAAGATGCCTACTTTTTGGCCTGTGTCGGCTCTTGACATACCTTCCTCACTAAGCTTAATCTTTTATAGCTTTTGATTTAAAGTGAGAAACATGTGACTTTCCTTTCACTTGAACACACAGATGCCATTGTAGGGTTATTAACTGGCCTAACTTCAATATTGTTGTGTTTCAGGAACAGGAAGCCCTGTGGAGCGAGAGATAGGGAATGGCCAGTCTGTGGAGCGAGAGATAGGGAATGGCCAGTCTGTGGAGCAGTCAGAATACACACAACATTCATCAGTTAAGTTCACTGTTGTTATATAGGTACAGTTTGCAGCACCACAAAACAATTAACAATAGTTAGTGGTGGCAGGCGCCCGTGGGAGGCTGAGGCAGGAGAATGGCATGAACCCGGGAGGCGGAGCTTGCAGTGAGCAGAGATCGCGCCACTGCACTCCAGCCTGGGCGACAGAGCGAGACTCCATCTCAAATAAAAAAAAAAAAAAAAAATCACTGATCATAGATCATCACAACAGATAAAATAATGATGAAAAAGTTTAACATATTGGGAGAATTACCAAAGTTTGACACAAAGACATAAAGTGGGCACATGCTGTTGGAAAAATGAAGCCAATAGACATGCTCCATGTAGGGTTGTCACAAACATTCAATTTGTTAAAAAGTGCAATATCCGTGAAGCACAATAAAGCAAAGAGTAATAAAACAATGTATGCCTAGATACATATACATGTATTCATTTTTGTTTTATTTTTATTAAGGTATAGTTTACAAATGAATATATATTTGAATTCAAAATGTCTACATGTATATTTGGTGCAGCTCTATCATATAGGTTTTGATTTCCCTACATTTAAATTATAAAATACTTTTCTTGTGCGAGTTCATCAGGACAATATTTACTATAAAAGTTCACAGTTTGATATATATCGAATTTTGCCAACTGCTTCGCTAAGTGAAACTGAAGCCAAAGAAGTTACAGGATTCCCAATATGTCCGAGCTGCTTAGTGACGGAGGTCTCTCTGAACCTGAAGCTCTGCTATTTGCCACTATTTGTCCACGGGCTTAAACTTCTCTTTACACACCCATTATTTAGTCATTGTGGACCTTTGCATCCTCTGGGAGATCTCTTTAGGTATTTGGAACGCAGTCAATTCGAAAAGTGTGTCAACAAAAATCCAGAAATAAAACTTGTAAGAAAATAAACTTGTCATAATGATTTTCTCCCTCATCTGTAAAAATAACCCAAGAAAATTTGTATTGAAATCAAAGAGATAACTGTTTAGCAACAAAAATTATACCTTTAGCAATGTGAATTATTTTTTAAAATATTATCTTCCTCCATATTCACACCATCCTGAAGTCAGCATGGAGAATTCATAGATGGTATTGAAGTCACCAGTGGAGCTGCCAAGTTTATTCCCAGACAGTACCTTTTCCTATGCCTGAATTGATTTCAGGTTTCATCTATAGGCTGTTAGCTCAGCGGTTTGTTCAGAGGAGGGTCAGGAGGAGTAAGTAGCATCTAGCTGTACACTCTTAACTTACTCTTACACATCTACATGATATCACTTATTTTTTACAGCTTTAATGCTCTAAAATTCTACAACTAAAAACAGGATGTGGGTATGCATCTTATGTTCAGTATTCTCATCCTGTCCTCAACATCATCTGTAAAGCATTCACTCTTTCTGCTTTCACCTCAATATAACAATATATAACAATGTGATGCTTAATTTGCACTCAGCAAGCCAGCTTATTCTTCCATCCCTGACCTCGTATGTGCTGATCACATCACTAGGACTATCCTTCCCACTCCGCTTTGCCAAGCAAAAGGCTAATCTCCTTAAAGTCTTCATACATTCTTCAGTTTTTTCATTTAGCACTCTCTTACCATTTTTACCCAGATAGCTTATCTGCCATTGTACCGCAGGTAGGTATCATATCTGTATATATTTGGAATTGGACAATACTGCAACAATGGGCTCTAGAAGATTACACAAACCTAAGCTTGAGAGGTATCACTCAGGACCAGGGTTACTGGGAGTCTTTGTCAAAATGTTGGATTCCTCATCTGAGAAAAAGGATAAATATATGGCTCCTCTTTCATAGGCTATTTTACAGACTGAATAAGCCAAATTCATGTAAGCTCTAAACAAAGCATTTGCCTCAAGTAATATCTAAATATTAGTGATTATCTGTGCAATATTCATGCATAAAATCTACATTTGATTATATTCTATCTCATCTTTTCCTATTGGTTTTTATATTCTTTTAAAAAAATCTTGTGGACTCAATAACAATGCTAAGGATATATTTTGAATCCCTATGGAAACTGTTCTAGTAGGAGAGTAGTGTCCAACAATTATGAATTGAATTGAAATGAAAATAATTTGTCTTTGAAATTCCCTAGTCTTTATGGGAAACAGAGCAACAGTGCAAGATAATACAATAAGCCACATGCAGTAATATAATAACAAAATGTGACTGACATTTCTATTCTACTTCATTGTTAAATCTTCCCATTTTAAACATTACCAATGTTAAATTTTATGTAATTTTAATACTTGACTCTGCCCTGAAGGGTTTTAAAGGAAGTCTACAATTTGGGAAATCTAATTTATAAACATGCTCCAGATGCTTATATTTTACTATTGCAGTATTGAAGAATATAAATTGCAAATTTAAGCTCAGTTGGGAATCCCTTCCAAAATATATCCCACGAGTTATGCTTGAATGTACACATATTGCTTTTTATGTGACTGATGTACAATTTGCAGATGACCGAAGGTTTCTATCCCCTGGTATACATGCCCTGTATAACCTCCTTCCCTTAAGTGCAAGACAGACTGTGACCATGACAGGACAGTCATTTCAAGATCACATTACATTATATTACAAAGATATTAGATACAACCTTGGGTTAGCACTGAAGAGAGGGACTCTCCTGCTGGCCTGAAGATGAAAACTGCCATGATTTGGAGAGAGCTACATGGCACATAACGGAGGGCAGCCTCTAGCTGCTGGCAGAGCGCAACCCTGGCAGAGAGCCAGACAACAAAGAAAGATAGGAAGTCAGTCTTACAGCTGCAAGGAACTGAACTTTGCCAGGAACCAGGGAGGTTGGAAGAGGAATCCCCTGAGGCTGAGTTGAGATCACAGCTCTGGCCAACACCTATATTTCAGCTGTGTGAGACCCTGAGCAGAGAACCCAGCCACATTGTGCCTGAATTCCTCTTACAAACTGTGAAATAATAATTTTGTGTTGTTTTAAGCCACTAAATTTGTAGTAATTTGTTATGAAACAATAGAAAACTAATACGGGACCATCAGGAAAAAGGAAACATGCAAAAACTAGAATTGTTCTCACCATGTGAGACATCATCTCCCATGACCCATCTCTATCATTCTATTTCTCAGCTATTCAATCATCTATTTATTCAACATACTTTTCTGTGTGTTTAATCTGTCTTGTTTATCCAAATTACACATCACCTTCATGAACTGCTGAATTCAATACACATACATCTAACCGAGTGTTATCATTTCTGTAAGAATTTCTCCCACTATTCCAACCTCATTTGAACTCTCTTCTTTTTGTAATGGTCTTCTGGCAACTTATCTTTCTATTGATGGTATATTCGCCTATGTTTTCTCAACTGGATCATTCCTTAAGTATTTATTCTGTGAAGAACTGGCTTTTGAACATATATTTCAAGGCAAGAACACTGACTCCTAAATGAGATATTCTTCTTTAGCAATGGGCAACATACATGCATACATAGTTTCCCTTTATGCCAGTCTCATTAGTTGGTACCATTATGCAGCAAGATACCTGATCTTTGAGGTTCTTACTGATCTAAGCATGTAAATGTAAAACAGACATAACAACAATAAATATATCATTCACATGACACCTAGATAAACTATTGTATTTTAGTGTTTGTTTCAATAGCTGAAAAATAATGATAAAAGACTTTTTGCTATCCCATCTGAATGTCTTTTACAGGTGTTTTTGTAACATTTCATACAATTTTAAAAGTTTTCACTTGTATCTTTAGACACTTCCTAAAACTCTGGTATATACTATACCAGATATATTCAGGCATGTAATTAGATAAAATTGTTACATATATAAAGATTCTGAAAAGCCAAATTATAATATCCTAAATGGCACAATGATATACTTATGTATTGTTTACAACTCTCTATCTGTAAAGGGAGAGTACTCTTCACCGGACACAATATTCAAAATTTACCTTGGAATTATTACCACAATGCTTGCATTGGGTGCAAATAATACCAAAGTTTTCTAGATGGCTTCAAGTTTAAAGAAATCTTATTTACTTATAGCATCTGTCAGTATTGCTGCAAACTAAGAGCAGGGTCTATTTAGTTTGGGTTCCCCCAAAGGCAGACACTGAGACAGTAATTCAAGTGCAAGTCGTTCGTTAGGAATATGATCTCAGAAAAGACAAGTATGGTGGTAGGGAAGAGAAAAAGGCTAATACATGGTAAATTATCTAATTAGTTACACTGTGGATAACTAGAGCTTAATTCTGTTGGGGATCCCTGGCAACCAGTGTAGAATAAGCACGTCGGAGTCAGTCCCTCAAAGAGTGACAGGGCTGAGATATTTATACATCATCTGCCCTCAGCTTTTGCTTGAGGTGAGCTTCCAGGGAGCAGAATTTAATGTGACTGATGGGCAAAGCAGCCTCTTTTGGTTAAAAGACCCCCAGAGGGTCAGAGGTGCTAGCCTTTTGATGTTGGGCTGGAAGCAAGGGGAGAAACAACATTTTGGGAGCAACTGTTGTGTGTTACGAAAGACAGTGGTCATTTAAAATATACTGTATATTAAATATGATATAGCACATACAGTATTATTCTTTTTTTGCAAATTAGGATTATGAGGTTTGCAAAGGTTAAAGAAGTTCTACAAAGTCACTCCGTTTGCAAGTGGGAGAGCCAGTGTTTGAACTATGGTCTGTCAGGCTCCAAGTCCCATGTTCTTTCCACACAATTAGCATTTCACTTCTTGGTGATACTTTTCAAACTCTAGAGTTTATTCAGATTTCAT
Organism: Homo sapiens; assembly: GCF_000001405.40. Taxonomy (NCBI): domain Eukaryota; kingdom Metazoa; phylum Chordata; class Mammalia; order Primates; family Hominidae; genus Homo; species Homo sapiens. The sequence continues at coordinate 154,424,188 of NC_000002.12, read as the reverse complement.
TAGGTTTTCCATCATGTTCCCCTACGAATCCAATCCATGCTCCTTTTTTCCAAGATCCCATCCAACAATATATTTTTAGTCATCATATGCCCTCAGCCTACTCTGATAGATGTTCAGACTTTTATCTTTTTGATGATGGTTTTGAGAAATACTTATCAGGCACTTTATAGAATATCTCTCAGTTTGAATTTTTCTAATGTTTATCTCATGGCTGGATTAGGGGTCTAGGGTTGGGGGTGGAAGACCTCAAAGGTACAGTGTCATTCCCATCACTTCAAGGGTGCACGGTATCACTATGACTCACATTATAGAATCTTGATTACATACTCAAGGTAGTATTTGCCAATATTTCTCCATTGTAAAGTTGCCACTATCCTCTTCCACATTGTAATCTTTGGAAGAAAGTCAACACAGCACACATGCCAGGGAAGGGGGAAGGTTATGTTATACCTCCTGGAGTAAGCTACAAAACTTATATGAAATTCTTCTGTACAAGGGATCCCAGAGAACAATTTTAACTTGTCTCTTAAAGCTTCAGTAAGAAATTGGGGGCTATGTATTTATGTTAGATTTATAAGTAACACCACATTAAGATTCATACATTTAAAAAATAAGTCCAGCTCGAAGAGGATGTGGAGAAATAGGAATGCTTTTACACTGTTGGTGGGACTGTAAACTAGTTCAGTCATTGTAGAAGACAGTGTGGTGATTCCTCAAGGATCTAGAACTAGAAATACCATTTGACCCAGCAATCCCATTACTGGGTATACACCCAAAGGATTACAAATCATGCTACTATAAAGACACATGCACACGTATGTTTATTGTGGCACTATTCACAATAGCAAAGACTTGGAACCAACCCAAATGTCCATCAATGATAGACTGGATTAAGAAAATGTGGCACATATACACCACGGAATAGCATGCAGCCATAAAAAAGGATGAGTTCATGTCCTTTGCAGGGACATGGATGAAGCTGGAAACCATCATTTTCAGCAAACTATCACAAGACAGAAAACCAAACACCGCATGTTCTCACTCATAGGTGAGAAATGAACAATGAGAACACTTGGACACAGGGCAGGGAACATCACACACCAGGGCCTGTTGTGGGGTGGGGGGAGGGGTGAGGGATAACATTAGGAGAAATACCTAATGTAAATGATGAATTAATGGGCGCAGCAAACCAACATAGCACATGCATACTTATATAATAAACCTGCACATTGTGCACATGTACCCTAGAACTTAAAGTATAATAATAATAAAAAAAATAAGTCCACCTCACGGGTCACTTGGTTAACTCACTGAGTGAAGAAAAAAAATCAGGTCTCTTTGTTAGGTGGATTGGAACATGACAATTTCTGCCACCCAGAAGTGGCACTTGCTCTCAGTAATGTGTAAACCATGAATTGGACACTGGCTATGGTGAGCTATCAAGACCACTTTGATCATTCCTTGGTGTTACGGTCTTAAAATGCATCTTTGAATTTTTTGTCTAAAAGAAAAAATCAAATTTTGCATATTACAGTCATAAACACATATTTTACTTTCTTAAATAAAATGAATATTCCAAACCTTTTTAGAGAGTTAGAACTAGAGAGCTGGAGTAGAAGTATGTCTATCTGGTAGGTTTTCATTAGAAGACTAAGATTTTCTATTCGAAATTGGAATGGACACTAGGCTGTTTCCATGGTTACCTACTGAAGCTTTTTTTCCTTTAATGGAAAGGTATCATTTCTGTATACACCACATGTAGCTTCATGCTTTGTATTGGATCAAATCCTTTGATAGCAGAATAAAAGAAATGAATTGAAAAAGTTTCTACAGTCTGCCCCTGCTTGCTGTGAAATTAGACTTCAACACTAAATAACATGAATAAGAAGCCCTTTTCATATTTGGCTGAATTCACAGTGTCATTTTTAATAACAAAAGTGCAGTCCAAGTATTTTCATGATGCTTATTACACACGATCCTTTGACAACCTTTGTAGTCTGAAAGCTCATTGCTTCTTTTGTCCCCTCAAGTCAAAATTCCCTTGCTTGACATTTACCTTCTATTGTAATCTTAGCTCTTCTACTTGTAAAACTTAATTTTCCACTGTCCCACTCCAGACTTTCAATTCCATTTGTGGCAGTGTCCTTGCTGTCCTTACTCACCCTCTGCTCTCTGTGCACGCTGAGTGCTTTGTGGAGTCTTTTAGACCCATTCCTGTCCTTATCAGAACTTTTCCTGAATGCCTCCTGTAGAGCATTATGAATGCTTGCTGTATTGTTAATGATTCTTTTGTATTCCCTATGAGATTGAGTATATGGTTTGTGTGCCTATTTATATTACATCTTGTTTCAAAGTGGATTTAAACAGCGATATCTATCTATAACAAATATATATATATTTCTTGCATGTATAATTATATATGATGTAATTAAAAGAAAAAACCCATTTCATACTGCTAACACATGCTTCAAATTAGTGTAGAATGCAATAAAATCCTAGAAAACGTATTTCTTGTGCAAAGAAAAAAGTATTAGACATATTTCAATATAAAGATAGCTTTTAATGTTAAGAATAGATTTGGAAAAAAATTAGAAATAATTTTTCTTCATCATTTATACAGAAAAATGACAATCTCATGATATCTCAGATCCAATTCCTTTTTGACATCATGAGTATATAATTAGGGCATGTAAAACCTATAATAGAAGATATTTTGCTGACATAGTATGACTACTACGTCTATATTTGTAGCAAGGCAAAATATATATGGGATATATAGTTAACTTTAAATGACATATCTAAAACATTGTGTTTTAGCCATATCGATGTGTAGCTTCCACTTGATTAGTCTCCTTACACTGGGCTACTTTCAATAATATTTTATATTTGATGACTCCTTTTAAAAATTGGTAAGTTTTAAGCAAGGAATCTTTAAAAAATCTTATACAGAATATAAAATGTATTTTGTGCTATAAAATATATCAAATATCTTCATTTCACTTGCATATTTTTTCAGATGTCTTCTTTTTCTAAACTTAATGTTTCTCTTCCCGGGATAAAGTATTAGTATTGCCTAGTCAACTATTTGAACATGAATTTCTTGTATAGTTTTATGTCATCTTGGCCTTATTGTGCTATCTTTTCATTTCTGAAAAAATAAGTTTTCATATTTAAAAAGCAAAAAAAACTAGGAATATCCTTGCCTAATTTATTCCAAAACTGTAACAATTTAATAACTAGGATGGAATTGCAAATGCAGTAAGATGAAGACAATCACAGGTACAGCAAAGCAACTAATCATAAGTATGGATTCTGCTTGGCTTCTCAAGAATATAAAAGTGGGCTAGGCAACGCTGTTAATTTAGAAATCACAGACATTATTTACCTTACCTAGAAAATAATAAACTGACTTTTACTACATGGATTAAGCCAAGATAAAGTTATATTATCTATTATAGAGTGCTTAAAATGGTTATGGTGAAAATAATTATGTCCTTGATGAAAAATAGGCATACAGCTAGTCTAAGGGTGATGGGGAATAGAAGAGTATTTCGAAAGACCTTAATATTCTTCACATATAGTAGACTCATGCATTCAAATCATTTAATTAAAAAAGTATTAAATATGATAAAATGTTGGCCGGAAGGTTACTTGAACAAGGATACATTTCACAGTAATGAGTAAGGTTATAGCCTCAAGTCAAAACGAATTAGGCATAAAACAGGAGAAAACTATTTGAAGACAAGGTGGAGAAAAGAATGAGGGTCAGAAGATTAAAGAGTACACAGGAGTAATAAGTTCTGCTGGAAATAAATATCTAGTTTAATGGAGACAAATTCATCTTGGTAAAGTCAGCAGAGAGCTTGCAGTCCATCTGTATATAACAGGAGCTTTAGAGGAGACAAATTGGTGGGCAATGGGTACAAAGTGGATGCTGTTAGTAGCAACACATTTTCCTTTTAGTAAATTTTTCAGGTAACAGATTCCCATTTTCAGTAAGAAAAGTTGTCCTGATGGTTGAGGTACGCCTTTGTGTCTACGTGTATGTGTGTGTGTATGTAGTGGGGTTTTATTAAACCAGGGTAGTATTAAACGTTCTGCTTTATACACTTACTGTGATATTTCACTTTAAGGGGAGTTTTTCCAAATATTCTGGGAATCCCATTAATAAAACTGATACACATTTATGTACATTAAAAAACAGAATATCATTTTAATGTTTAAGCCTTATAGAAATGTAATATTAATCTCAGTTATGCATGGGATGATGGTGATATACTTTAACCAATTAATCAACAGAATAATATTTTGTCCTACTATTTGCACTGACATACTTTGCTATTTTCTAAGATGCCTTCTTAGACACTGTCTTCTCCAATTTGGTCTGGTGTCCTTCCCTTGTTGGTGCCATAGTCCCTTTTCCATGTACTGCTTTTCTTATCGATAATCACAGTAGATATCCTTATGATTTTAACACCAGGAATATCTGAACTTTTACGAAGCTGTTTTTTAATATTATGGACACAAGGAATCATATAACCAACTTTGTGCTCATAGCTAGAAAGCATAGAGCCAAAGTTGTGACTTATTTAAATCAATGTAGGATCCCATGAAATGAATTTTAAATATCTTATGAAAATGGAAAAGGTGTTTTCTAGATTGACTTGAATTGACAATTTTTCTAACACTTTTGAAAAAATGTCTTACATGGTAGATGTTAACAATCAAAATGTAGAAACATAAAATGAGACTCTACAATACTTAAAAGATAAATCTAAAAAACAGCCAATACTAGTTTTCAATTTTTAAGAGATCTTAAGAAAGAAAACAAAAACTTACAATCTTTGAGTAACTCTTGTCAGGGAAAGAAAAGGGCCAAACATGACATATTTAACATTTCTATGCTAGAAAACACTGTGGCCAGGCAACACTCGGCAGGATCAGATCACAAGTTCCTACAAGTTTTTATCAACTCCAAGTTTTCATAGATGTTCCTCTGATATAATTTTCTTGAATTAGGAAAATGTTACTTGTTGATTTTTTGCTCAATTATTGGATAAAATAATTTTAACACTCCTGTGCAGGATTTATTAACAGAAGGAGCCATTATCATTTAATATTTTAAGGATTTCATTTTAGTTATTTTATATTTTTATTAATATAGGATTTATAATTGACAATGTTATTTACAATTACTATGATGGTAGAGAATACAAAAATTTGAGTTAAAATAGAATCTCTAAAAACAAAAATTCTACAATTAAAACTTTCTGAAGAATCAGTACTATATAACTGAGGTCCACTCTTTCTAGCTATCACAACATGTTTAGAAGTATCAGGATGAAATCATGTATGTTTCCAACTTTGAGGAAGGTTTAGTATCTTAGAAATTTTTGTCCAAAGAAGTTGGCTATTTATGAACTCTGAGCTATACTGTTTCTAGAATTTTCTTTGTGAGCCCTTAATTTCCTGTCGTTGATAAAACAAATTATCACAAACTTGGAAGCTTAAACAGGAATTTATTCTCTCACATTTCAGGAGGCCAGAAGTCCAAAATCAGTTTTACTGGGTGGGAATCAGGTATCAGCAGGGCCTCTTTCCCTCCAGAGGGTCTGGGGGAAAATCTAGCCCTTGCTTCTTCCAGGTTCTTGTGACTACAACCATTCCCTGGCTTATTGGCCGCTTTACTCCAAGCTCTGCCACTATGGTCACATCACCTTTTCTTCTCCCTCTGCTTCCCTTTTATAAGGATACATGTGGTAGCGCGGCTATCTAGATAACACAAGATTATCTCCATATCTCAAGATCTTTAACAAAATCATGTCTACAAAATATTTTTTGCCACATAAGGTAAAACACAGGCTCCAGGGGTTAGAACATGGGTATCTTTTGATATTCATTTTTCAGTTACCAAAGCCCCAAATCCACACATTTCTAGAGGAACAATTTCATCCTCCAGGAAGATGATTTTAGTTTATGTAGTCAGAATTTTGAAGCTATTTTTATGATAACAGGCTCTTGTGTAACTTTAAACATTTTTATAACAATTGTTTACTTGTTCATTCTTTTAATAAGCGTTTATTCCTGTAAGGGGATTTTTTAAAAAGAAAAACAACAAATTCTTGCTTCCAAAAAAGACTACAATTTATTTTTGCAGATAGGATAATGAAACATACATAATTGAATGACAACATAATGATTAAAGAATAAAATATTGAGAAATAATATATAAGTTAAAAACAAGAGAAAAAATTCTGCAGTCTAAGTTCAAAGGAAATATAAATGTATATTGAAAAGCAGAAAAAATACAGCACTATATAGAGATGGTGGGTTTTGAAGTGCGACTAGATTGATAGAATTTACATAGTTCTAAAAGTGGCCGGGCGCGGTGGCTCACACCTGTAATCCCAGCACTTTGGGATGTGGAGGCGGGTGGATCACCTGAGTTCAGGAGTTCGAGACCATCCTGGCCAACATGGTGAAACCCTGTCTCTACTAAAAATACAAAAATTAGCCAGGTATGGTTGCGGGTTCCTGTAATCCCAGCTACTCGGGGGGGCTGAGGTAGGAGAATCACTTGAACCCGGGAGGTGGAGGTTGCAGTGAGCCAAAATTGTGTCACTGCACTCCAGCCTGGGCAACAGAGCAAGACTCCGCCTCAAAAAAATAAATAAATAAATAAATAAATAAATAAATAAAAGCATGGCAAGGTCATGGCAAATGGGTTTAAGAAAAGGCAAAGCTATAAGAAAAACAACAACTAACAATAACAATTTTTTACAAGTCTGGTCAGGGTCCATAAAGTTGATGGAGTAGAGCAGAAAGGGGTCAAAGTTGTGTAAACAATGCCAATTTTATCCTGTAATAACTAGGAACTCTTTCAGGTTTTTTTTTTTTTTTTTTTTTGGTGCTTGTTTGTTTTTCCAACTGGGAGCGATAATTTCGACGGAGTCATCACTTAATTATTTAAGGAAGGTGGAATGAAGATAGGGACAGGCTGGAGTTTGGGGAAACTACACTGAAAATTATTGTAGTAATTCAAGTCTGAGGCAATCAAGGCTCAAATTTAGAAAGCTGAGTTATTAATGGAAGAAAAGAAGAAATAGATTTTAAAAAGACTAGTAGAATGAATCCCCAGGGCTTAGGTCCAGTTTGTAGTGAGCATGGGGTGATGAAAGATGAGAGAGAAAAATGTAAAAGATGAAAGAAAGAGATTAGAGGACAAAAGGCTTGGGACAAAAGGTAATTATAGACACACTGAGTTTGAAACAATGGCTGCAAGCCCAGGATATGGTACAACTTTGACGCCTCCTTAAACTTGAGGGGATTAATTTTGCAGAAAAATAAAATGTGAAGAATCAAGACTGAACAGAGTAGCATGGCAATAAGAGATTCACTGACATGTAAAAGTATCCTAAGACTTTGTTGACACCTGACTGATCAAATGATCACAGGGCCTATTGGATTTACTTAAAAGAAAACTTCAAACTTCATTGTTTGAAGAACTTGAGGGTAAAGAGATAACTCATGATCCCCCAAAAAGCTAGCCAAAGTGAAACGTTTCTTTTCTTTGGATATTTTCCCCTTAGTCATATACTACCTAGAGTGTTTATTATTGACTAGGATAATCAGGTTTTGTTGGATGAATGATTGACTGAAATTATCATTTGTTGTAGTCTAAACGTTTGAGTCCCCCCTCCCAAATTCATGCATTGAAATCCAGTCCCCAGGGTGATAGCATTAGAAGTCTGGGCCCTTAGAAGGTGATCAAGTCATGAAGTCTCTGCCCCGAGGAATGAGATTAGTGTCCTCATGAAAGAAACCCAGAGATCTAGCTCTTCTCTTTCACCATGTGAGCATGCAAGAAGAAGGCTCAATGAACTTTTCCCTCATCAGACACCAAATCTGCTGGTGTCTTGATCTTGGACTTCTCAGCCTCCAGAACTGTGTACAATAAATTTCTGTTGTTTTTAAACCACCCAGTTTATTGTATGTTTATTATAGCAACCCAGATAGACTAAGACAGCATTCCATCCCAAGTATAGTATAATCTCCTGACAGGAGGACAAAGTCAGCAAAGACCAGAGAAGTTCTCCCAGTCAAGCATTAATGATAATGAAAGGCTCTTGTAATAATTCCTGTTTCTATAGAAGTTGTGGTAACCCTGCTTTCTTCTAGCTTGCATGTATCCAACTCATTTAAACATTTAATGAATGGTAGATTTTCCTTCTTTCCTCATAGGCCATTCTATTTAACTTGCAAATTTACTCTGTGAAATCCCTGGTAAGTTTTAATTCCACTGTGCAAGCTACTAAAAAGGGACCAAATTAGTATTGAAATGGCTTCTAAGTAATTACAGTACTTATAAAAATGCAAACTTTAAAATGAATATATATCTGTTGAATGTATTCATTACAATCTGTGAGTACATTAGAACATATTAATAAAATAATTAAGCTTTCTCTAGGAGAGGATCTGTAATGAAACAAAGTATTTGTTTACTCTCTAAATTTTTAATACACCTGTCATAAGATTAGATTCAATTTAAGTAATCAGATGTTAGACGAGGAGGAGATATTTGTATAAAAGTGTAGATCATACCTAATGATCTCTTCTTTAATCTTGGCAGAAAACAGCATTTTAACAAATGGCTAGCATAAGCTTCCTTAAAGGCTTGCTACCTTGAAAAATAGCTCTGAATCATTTACCGCAATAAATTATATGGAATGTTTCCACGTGCTTTCTAGCTGTCTTCAAATGAGTGGCTCCAGGGAGAAAAAGAAACATTATAAATGCATTCACTAGGGTTGTGAATATTTTTCCATTACTTTACATTTTTTTGCCTTTAAAAGGAAAAGGTACAATGTGTATGGGGCTATTTTTATTCATTTTTAATTAAAGATGTGCTGCTATTCAGAGGGAAACAGCATTGAATTTTTAAAATTGTTACAGTGATTAGTTTCAAAGTAAAATGTTTATGTTATAAATGTTATGTTAATTTAATTTTTACCTAATTATGAATATATTTTATGTATTAGAGTTTTTTTTTTTTCTAGAGATGGGGTTTTGCTACATTTCCCAGGCTGGACTCAAACTCCTATGTGCAAGAGATCTTCCTGCCTTAGCCTTCTGAATAGATGGTACTACAGATGCATGCCACCATGCCCAGCTATTTTATGTAAATTTTAAATAAAAATTAATATCAGTTTGAGTAGATATAACATATTCCTAATAAGACTATGATCTGAGTACCAATTTTGATATTATGCCTTTATGATGATATAAATGTTTTTTCAAAGCACTTTAAAAATGAATGGCATTTCTACACAAAAAAGAGAAAGTATTAAGGCAAACATTGGTTTTAATATATAAACTTGAAAAGTCTGTATATAAAAAAAACTGTAAACAAAAAGTCAGAAAAATGTTTGCAAAATGCATGACCAGGGCGATAATATTTAACAAAGTATTCTTATAAATGACAAGAGAAAAAAGACCCCTTTCAACCCCCAATGGAAACATAAGCAACAATATCACTAGAAAATTTGCAATAACAATTTTTGAAATGTTTAAATGCCAGTTTTTAAAATCATTAAATGCACTGATAATGCTAGAAATATGGTTGAAACAAGATAAAATGTTTCTCCCATACTAAAATGGCAAAGATAAAAAACAAAAAAAAAATATAATACACAGGGTTGGCCACTGCGATTATAATCCTGGAAAGTGTGGTTGGAAATCAATGCAAATACAGTGACTATAAACCTGGTGTGGAATCAGACTTAGGTTCACACTGGCTTTACCATTTCAATCATGATACTAATCACTCAAGATTTCCATTACATTCGTAAGTAAAATAAGATAATAACACTATCTACTTCAAAGATCATTGTAAGTCTCAAAGAGGGTAATTTGTATTAAATGTTTATCAGAGTCCTTTTTATTTTAGCTATTAGTCTTATTTGCTGAAATCTTAAGAAAAAAGAACAATTTGTTAGTATACCTTAAAAGCCTTCTAATTTTGCATAACCTTTGATTGAGCAAACATACTTCTAGACATATTTCTAAAGAAGTAAATATTAGTGATCACCAGATTTTAGCTACAAGGAAATTGATAGGCTTGGTTTATAATACTGAACATTTACAAATATTGTATGTTAAACAATAAAAGAATAAATAAATTATAGCTTATCCATTAAAAATGTGTCCTGTAGCAAATGTACTTCTAGAGATATTTCTAAAGAAGTAAATATTGGCGCTTGCCAGATTTTAGCTACAAGGAAATTGATGGGCCTGGTTTATAACAATGAACTTTTATAAATATTGTATGTTAAACAATAAAACAATGAATAAATCAATTATAGTTTATCCATTAAAAATGTGTCCTGTTTAGGTTAAGGAGTTGCTAATGAATAGCTAGCAAATGAGAAGCTAAATTATCGGGTTTTCAACAGTGAGTGTGTCTTAAGTTTTTTAGTGGAGCAGAGTGTAGCCAACAGCTCAATTTCAGAGAACAGTGTAAGTGAACTGCTAGGATAGGAAAACACTGAAAGCATTCAAGGAATGAGAAATCATGAGACGTATGTCTAGAGCACAGGAGACCGATGGGACATCAAGGTAGATCAGGCTGGAAAACCAGATGGGGATACAATTATGAGGGGTTTTGTATATCATAGGAAAGAATTTGGCTTTTATTCTTTGGGCAGTGGAAAGCTGCTGAATATTTAATGAGATGTTAAACTAATGTAGCATGAATTATGAGTTATGAAAATAATGAGGTTTTAAATCCATATGGGTAAAAGTAGATATAGGCTAGAACAAAGGCAGAGATCCTGGTTATAAAAGGACTAAGATGTAGGGACATTTTTCCATAGAAGTGTTGGGATTTGGTGACTAATCGGACTTCAGAAGTATGTTTCTATGTTAGGTTTCCATTTTGGATGACTCTGTGAAAGGAAAGGAAATGAGTTCAGTTTGGAAACAGGTGGGTTTGAGATGTCTGCAGACATTAACGATAATTAACTGGCTATAGATTCTAGAGCTCAGGAGAGAGGTTGGGGCTGTACATGTAAATCTGAGTCATTAACATTGTACGGGACATGGAAGTGCTTCCAGGAATCCATGCCATCTTTCAGAAGTACAGAGAAGACACTCTCACAACTGCTATACTTTATTTCAGTAAATTGTAACTTCTGTCTTTCACTTGTAAAAGTTTATATTCAAGTTAATCAAATTATTCTTATTCTTTTCAAAGTGTTAATGATTATCATGAAGTTGCTTGACAATGAAAATAAATCATTGCAAGAATAGATATAAATGGAGTGCTGAATTTTGTTATTCTTTGAGTAAGACAGTTTTTATTTATAAGGCTTTAAAAAAAGAGCACTTCAAAATGGTCATGTTGAATTGAATAATAATTCTCCAGTTGTTAGCTTTTGCAGTATTCCTGCTACAAAAACTTTCATTAACTCCATTTAGATTTTGCTGGGAAATCTGAGTGTTTAAGAAAATTATTTCTAACAACTACTGAAAAGTAAGTTTCTTCCTGATGTTTCCAAGGCCTTAAAAAACCCCTAAACTATCAAAACTCCTATGCAAGGAGAAATGGTTAAGGTATAATTGTTGACAAACAAAAAAAAAATACCTTTTTTTAGAAATGTAACTAAGTTAAAAAAGGATTTTAACATTTGTTATGATTTTTGTGTAAAAGCAAGAGAGAGAAGCTTGAGTGATTTTTATGGGTTGGGGGCTACTTATAAAACAGTCAAAACTAAATAACCATAAAAATAATTGCTGCTTCCATGGTAACATAAAAGAATAGCAATAAAACCAGGGAGGGTAATTCTGAGAATAAAATTCTAAAATCTGTTTTTTATTAAAGTGAGAAAGACAAAACCTGAAACAGGTTCCTAGTATTAATTATCTTAGAAATATTGAATTCCATCAGAGCAGAATTCATAATAATTGAGTTTTATATGATGGTTAAATTTTTCCATAATCTGTATTTGTTAGAGTTACAGGAGAGGTTGTTCATCGTTTTGAAATCAACAATACCAAATTAAGTGTTGTGCTTTTATCTTGCTTGTGACATTAGCCACTGAACGAACATTTTTTAACTTCAGAAATAAGAGAATTAACAACATCAATAGAAATAACAAGTAAAGGGGCTAATTAATGGCAATGGATCAATACACATTGCATGTTTAGTATGTGCCATGTTTAGTGTTAATTTTTTTAATGAATTTTCCTAGTGTTAGAAAAAATTTGAATGAAATCTTTTGTTCATTTTATGGACAATCAATATCAAAGCTCAAAAATATTATGTAACTTGCCATAAGTTACCCAATTAATCAGATCAGGGTAATGCAACACAACAATGTTCTTCTAGTCTCAATAGTTTAAATTTCCCCATTCTTATTTAATTATGAAGGAAATACATGTACTACTGTATGCAGAAAAATGTGCGGTAAAAAGGAAAATTTCTTTTCCAACTCAGTCTTCTTTCCAGATATCCACTCGCCAGATACAATCTATATTCCAGATAGATTTTTATAGATTTGTAATAGATTACATAGCATCCATATAAATATACAGATACTATATATTGTTCAAATATTTTTTCATAAATGAGATTATTGAAAATAAGTTGTCTGGATTGTTTTTCTCTTTTGAAGTTCTAGTGACACACATGCAGACCTCCCTCAGTCATTTTGATGGTATACAGCTTTCTATACTGTGCGTATACCATGCTTTATTTAACCATTCCCCTCTTGGTAAATACTGAATTGTTTCCATTGTTTGTGTTTTAACAAAAAGGGCTCCAAAAACATTTGTGTGTGTGTGTGTGTGTGTGTGTGTGTGTGTGTGTGTGTGTATGTGCAATTAAGTATGTAGATGGAAAAATAATGGTTTTAATTTTTATCTTGTTATTAAATTGATCTTGTAGAGCACATTAGAATAAAAGTAGGGATAGATTTTATGCTTATTATTATTTGATCACTTTCTTTATGAATCCCTGAGCTGTTTTTATATACTTTTAGTTACTATGAAAATAACAGCTCATTATTTCTTGGCAATGTCTACAAAGTTCTAAGGTACAAATCTACTGTTCTGGCAATACAATCTTTCATCTATTTACTTGCCTAGTATTCGTTAGGTGCTCACCATGTTCCAAGACTGCAGCAGGTGCTGGGTATGAAAACAGGAGTAAGATATAGGACTGCCAGCAAGAAGTTTGCAGTAGAGTGAGATAGCTTATTTCTGGGTATTTGAAAACGTGCAGATGAATAAAGTAATTTTTAATATGGCACTGTAATGATTCTATGTAGAGAATTCATCTGGGGTACCTTTCTTATTTTCATAAGCAATAGAATGAGAGAGATTTCATAAGTAGTGTTTCTTTAAATTCTGTATGAAATTATGGAGCAGATAATTAGCTGATTTTTTTTGCCATAAGTTGTTCAAACAGATTATGGCTGGCACTTCTAAATGTCTCCCCAATATCTTGGTAAATGAACTGTGAGAAGCAGCTACTTGTGAGTGTGGGGTTAAATATTCAGTGTTTTGTTGTACTAGGGATGTCCAAGTAACACATTTTTACCTAAAGAGAGATACACTGAGACGTGTAGAGCCTCTAGGAAGGCTTTTGCTTTTCCTAAAAGAAAAACAGATATGGCTATTGCAGTTCTTCCCTGACTTTGATATTCCTGCCTTGAATGTGGATATGATGTCTGGAATTTCAGCAGTCCTCTTCTGACCAGCTGATGATAAAAGTTAACTCTAAACACTAAAGAATGGAAAGACATAAAGTTTTTGGTTTCTTTATGAAATCATTGAGGTCCTAAACAAATGTCAGAATTTTTATTATGTGAGAAAATTAAACCCTCACACATTTAGTCCTCTTATAGTTAAGCATTTTGTTGTTTCCAGCTGAATTCATCAGGACTTCATTGGTTTTTGGCAGTAGAGGCCTGTCACATTCATTATGAATCAGTGAAACAATAAATGGAATCATTTCTGAATGCTTTGTCATTAGTCTGCCTATGTTGTTTCTATCCTCTTCCTCCATAAGGTCAATTTCCCATGCTGTAATTTAGAAATTTGGTTTAAATATTTTCTTGCTCAAATTGACAGTTTGGAACACTAATTAGGATTTTTTAAATTAAGAATTTTTAAGGGAGAAACTTCCTTTTAATGTTCTCCATTAAATAACACCGGCCCTGTTTGAAGTATGGTGCGCCAAAACTCAACAGAGTTCATTTTCTTCTTTATAGTACAAGAATCAACAAGTATTTTTGTAATAAATCTTGACACAAATATAACCATAATTGTGCTGGACAGGATAACTTTTGCAACCTCGGTTCACACTAACTCAGAAATTCTACCTCTGGATAAAAAACTTTTGGTTCTCCTAAACTTCTGTAGATAACTTGTTTACAGAGGATTAGCTACCTCAAACTCTGCTTTGTTGGTATAGTTCCCAGGAACTCCAAATTCTACCTCTCAAAGTGGCCATGGCAGTAAAATAGCTCTGTCCTGAAGACTCACAGCCAAATAGCCTCCATGTGGCCCACCATGCAAAGCTTTTTTCCAATGCTTAAGAAGAGCACAAGAACTCTTGTCACACACAAGAAAGGCTGTCTAAGACTTTTAGTCAGCTTTCAACACTGAACTATATACTTAAACATTTTATTAAACTTCAAAAGCTCTTAAAAATCATAACATACATAAAAATCTGAAAAGAGATGGATAAAAATAACCATTGGGAAAACATCACAGATGTTGAGGAATTATTTTCTATATTCAGTTAATAGAATAAAATGTACTCCTCTCATTTGCTAATACATGATAAAATGAGATGTGTCTAAAATATTTGGATATCTTCATTAACTGTAGGCACACTGAAAGTGTTGCTCTTTTTATTTTAATTTTTCAGCTCTCCTTTAAGATCCTTGGGACAATAAAATAGCCAAATTAGTTCTAGATTTGAGTGTACATTTATTTATTAAGCTCAGTTTATAGTTATTAACATGTGAGCCATGGTCTCCACTGATAGTTTTAACAATATTTTCCCTCTAAAACATGAAGCTGATAAAAAGGGAGAGTTTACCTGATTTCCTCCCATACCATGACAGTTGAATATACCCACTTTTTCATTTTCCTTGCGGCCCATGTTGTCTAAACACTGATTGGTTTCAACATTTCTTATCTAAAGGAAACACACAAAAGGGGGGGGATAAAACATAAATCAGACAGTTATTTAAGTCATCAAATCCTTCTCATGTTACTATCTATTGTTAACTGAATAATACAACTTCATAAGAAAATTTCTCCAAGAAAAACATATTACTTTAAATATTTGTCTTTTTCAGTGTCCATTCTTAACCTGTATACATTTCTAAACTCCTCCTGAAGTTTTTGAACAGAATTGGCATTGGCATCTAATCAAGAAACATTCCCTGTTTATAGCATAGTATCATAGAAGAAGGAAGCAGCTGCATATTATGAATTAGGAATTCTTCCCCAAATCCTCTGAAAATTAGGACACACTTTTCATATTCCACTCAAATAACCATTGACTATTCTTGAACTCCTATACTATTGCATGGAAGGAAATAAAAACAAATTGGCTAAATATTGAAATTTATGTTCTTTTTAGATTGCTTCATTACTGTATGTTCCATTCTGTGTGTTAATAAAGATTACACTGTTTATATCTGTGAGTAAAACATTTTCATGCATCTTCTTTCATGCCTAATGTCAAACTTATTGGGAAGTGCTTGACCCTAAGGAAAGCTATTACAATGCTAAACAGTGATTTCACATTACAAATTCCTCAAAAGCAAGATTGAATTGCTGACTACAGACATAAAGTTCTTGGTTTACATTCAAACATGGCATTAGTCCCATAATTAACATAAAGTTAATACATATTTGTGCCAAATGTAATTACAAAACCAATAATTGACTTTAAAGATACTAATCTCACTGAATCAAGAACAAATGAATGCAAAAAAGAAAAAAACCTTCAACCTTCTAATAAATGGGATATTTCAGATTTTTACTTAGTCTCAACCCCAAGTATGTATTTATGCTTGTCCACTCTGCTTTTGAAAAGTTTGTATCTCCGAACCATAGACATGCATATTTTACTGTTCAGTTGGTAGAATTATTGGACACATATATTTACTTATCTATGCTCTGAGTACATGTTTCCTCACATTGGCTAATGAATAAGACAGGAAACTTACTACATAAACATATAGAGGATGAATTTGGTTTATACAATTCACTTTTTCTGTGGTGCAGAACCTCATGGCCAAGTACTAGTACCTGGAGTTGGGGAAAGTGGTATGACTTGCATTAAGGCCCCCATCAATAACTGAGAATAGTATGGATCAGAATTCCCATTTGGTAAATGTTAGAAAAAACTGGACAGAGTCATCAAGCCCTGTTTCAAGGGGCTGAGATTTAGAGCAGAGTTATATGTGTTTTCATAAAAAAATCTGAGCAGCAACCCATTAAAAAAGACAAAACACACACTGAATATTACAAGGAAAGGGCACGGGCTTCTAGAAGCAAAACCCGGTACCTGTTCATATAGGGCTGAAATATATTCTCAATCTGATTTCAGGTGGTCCAGACACTAGAAGGGATTGAACCTATAGGCAAAAGACCTTTCAGGACCTGCAGCTGGAGAGGATTAAGGAAGGTAACAACTGATAAATTGTAGTATGATGTAGTAAATAGGATGGTATAGGTTGCACATAGTCTGATCAAATTATATAAGTTGAATTATTTTTAAATCCCTTACATCAGATTTTATTGACTTTTCATAAAAGGAAGATTTCTTGAAAATAAGATTATACATTATTGCTATTTAGTTCCTAAAAGAGTGTAGGACAGTATAATGCCATTATACTTAGAGAAATACATATCTCACAAAATGACGAATTCATTTTTAGATGTAAGGTATGCAATCTGATTAGAAGAATCTCTGCTAGGTACATGGTACTTGAATAGGCACTAATTAATAATTACAGGGGTTACAGCTTGAATTGTTTGTAAGGCTTTCTCTCTCTGCTGGAAAGCAGAAAATTCAAAGCCATATTCAGCCTAGTACATACTCTGACAGTGGTACTGGAAAGGGACTTATCGGAGATGCATGCCCTCTTACTCTTTGACAAATTAAGAAATACCTTTAAGAATGGCTCCAAAATATTTTGCCTTCAGTAACAACCTATTATTGATCTATTTTCTACAAAAGATAACACTTTAATGTTTTAGTATGTAACACCTCTTGTGAATTCATTTATTCAATTGAGTAGTAGTATCAGGAAAATGTATATCTCATACCAGGCACTACCTGAGGTGCTGAGGAGACAGAAAGGAACAAAATAAACACAGTCTCTTCCTTCATAAAGCTTATGTTTTAGAAGGGAAGAGAGCAACAAATAAATAGATTTGTAATATGTCAGAAAATCAAGAAGTCCTGTGAAGAAATATAAAGCACAGTAAGTAAGGGTAGATAAAGTGAAGGAGATGGTACTATTTTAGAAAGGAAAGGTCAGTTGGAATAAAGACACTTGAAAAGACGTTTAATGAAGAGGAGAGCAACCATATTTTCATCTATGGAAGGACATTTTGGGCAGGGGAACAGCAAATGGATGCTCCCTGTAGTTGGACAGTACTGAGTGAAATAATGGACTAGCCTTGTACCACCACTGCAGTGAGCAAGGGGCAGGTTAGAGAGGTATCCCAGACTAAGTAATGTAAGGAATCATGAGAGTTTTAGCATAGGCATGGTATAATAGTAGCTTATTGTGGCTGCTGTGCAAAGAGCAGATTAGAGGGAGGAAAGACTGGAAGCAGAGAAACAAGGAAGAAGGCCACTGTAGTCATGCCAGCAAGAGATGATGGTGATTAACAGAATAACAATGGGGGTGGAAGGTCCAATTTCAGATATATTTTGAAGGTAGAGCCACTGGAACTTTCCATTGAATCGAATGTGAGTTATAAGACAAATAAAGACATCAAGAAACATGCCAAGCTTTGGGCCTGAACGAGTGGGCAAATGCTATTTCTATTTACCAGGAACAATAGTCTTGAGTTCTTGCATGTTGATAAATATATCTGTGGCTGCTATACTTGAAAATCACTTTGATAGATCTAAAATCCATGACTCACCAAACTTGACTACCTTTTAAATGTTACTCCATTTACTTCCAGAGTAAAGGATTCCTTTGAAAACTCTGATGACAATCTGGGATTTTCCCCCTCTTAATTCTTACAAGTATCTATTTCCCTCGAAGCCAAACTGATTTTTTTATCTTTTAAGTTTGGGAGATTTCCTACAATGTATCTTGACATTACTCATTATGGATCACTCTCGCAGGGATGTAGTGTTCCTTTTCACAATATCGTTGCAATTTTATTTTCAGAAAAGTTTCCCGGAATTATAGTCATTATTTTATTTTTCGAGATACAGTCTCACTCTGTCGCCCAGGCTGGAGTGCAGTGGTGGCAATTCTCTGCCTCAGCTTCCCAAGTAGCTGGGATTACAGGTGCCCACCATCACACCTGGTCAAATTTTTTTTTTTTTTTTTTTAGAAGAGATGGGGTTACATCATATTGGTCAGGCTGGTCTCGAAATCCTGACCTCAGGTAATCCACCAGCCTCATCCTCCCAAGGTGCTGGGATTACAGGTGTGAGCCACTGCACCCTGCCTATAGTTATTAATGTTCATTTTATTTCATTGGTTTTTCTCTTTAGGAAATCCTAATATTTTTGGTCTTGTTGCTTATCTTCTATATGTGTCACTTTCAATTGAACAATTTAGTTTCCAATTTTTATATTTTTAGTTGCTCCTTTTTCTTTTCTAAAATTCTTATGGCATGCTCTCGGTATTATTCACTCATGTGTTCTTACAAGTTTGGCCTTCATTTCTGAAATGATTTAGTCTTTGATTTCTAATTCTTTCCTGCATTATACTTGCACATTTCAGTTTTTCTAAATTTATGTTGTTCTTTTCTATATTCTATCATTTAGAGCATTTATTTTAGCATCTTTTGAAATATTAGATTACACTTTTCCTCTGTCTTATGAGCATAAAGTACTGGTGTGCTTGCATTGTTTGCAGAGATACCATTCTACTTCTTACTATCTTTTTCTTACATCAGTCATGCTTTTCTAGTTTTTCTTTTCTCTCTTCCTTTTGTTCTTCCTTCCTTCTTTCCTTTTTTGCATAAGATCAATTTTCCTAGTCTTTTAAGGGGAAATGATTGATCAAAAGACCATTTCTATTTTCACAAATATGGAACACCTTTTTCTGTAGTTTTTGAAGTGTTAAAAAAAAAAATTACCCTTCTATTTCTTGAGACCTCCTGACCCCATTTACCTCACCCATTTTAATCTGGACCATTCATTTCCTTTTCCTCCCACTCTAGTTGGGCTTTATTCCCCAAAGTGTCTTCTGAGAAGGAGCTTCAGCTAGTGAGTTTCAAGAATTCACAGACTGCAGACTGTTCAGACCCTTCAGATATTAGAGAGGAGTTTTTTTTCTCACCTGCAAAGTACTTCTCCCATTTTCAGCTACTATTATCCAATTGGCCTGAAACAATTTCTCATGAGTATCTATTAGAAAATTGGGTGTTATCCTGACCTCATTTCCATCAAATACCTCATTGCTTTCCTCTGTTGTCTCCTACAAAAATTGTAGTATCATCTGGGTCATGACAATGTCAGCTCATATTTGAGAATCTGTGAGAACACTTTGCCACCTAAATTTGTTGTCAAAATTGTTTATCATTCTTTTAAGTTTTGCTGTTCTAGTCGTTTTCTGTTTTAATGGGAAAATTCAGAGATTCACACATAATGTCATTGCTGCCACCAATTTTTCCAGAATTCCAGAATAGACTTATCTTGGGGACTGCATGAAAAGAAGCCTATCCTATTTCTGGCACATTCTAACTACTCCACATTCAATGTGGTTTTGTAGTTTGTGGATGTGTAATATTACTTGTCCTTCAGAATGCAGCAGGTGCTAAGTGGATACAAAATAGGAACTGAAGTCAAGTCTGGCTGGATGTAGAATCTGGGAGAATAGCAATAGACAGGAGTCAATGGTTTAGGAAACCTGCCACAGGGAGAAAAGAGAGACAACCACTACCACCTCCAATATGATGATAATAATAATATAAATTAGAAACTATTTGAATTGTATGTGCCAACCTATTACTCCCGTTTTACAAACAAAAACATTAAGATACAGAGAGGTTAACTAATTTGCCAAAACAAAACGTAAAGGTATTCTATGGAGTCTGGGAATTGCCAGTCCTGACTTCCAGACAGGGAGGCAGTGTTTGTTAGAACGGAGGCCTGGAAGGAGCAAGGGAGGACTCAGTTCTGCTTAAACAGAGCTAACCAGAGGTTATCTAGACAACAGGTGAAGACACATGAAAAAAGATACATAAAGGCAACCTGGTATTAGGCCTGGGGGACCAGGTCAAAAAGCCTAAAAACAAAGTATTCTTTATGCTTAGTGCCATCCTGATGAGCTGAGGTCAGGCAAATAATTTCTATCTATGTCCAGGGTGACCTGAGAGATAAGCAGTGTGGAGGACAGAGTGTCAGGAAATCAGGATATCAGTTGCCATCTTAAACAAATAAGAGGGACATATCACCTGGGATAGAGACAATATCTGAAAGCTTTTTTTTTCGTTTTTGTTTTTTTTTTTGAGACGGAGTCCAGCTCTGTCACCCAGGCTGGGGTGCAGCAGTGTGATCTCAGATCACTGCAACCTCCAACTCCCAGGTTCAAGTGATTTTCATGTCTCAGTCTCCCAATTAGCTGGGACTACAGGCATGGAATTCCATCACAACTGCCTAATTTTTGTATTTGTAATAGAAATGCGGTTTTACCATGCTGGCCAGGCTGGTCTCAAACTCCTGATCTCAAGTGATCCGCCTGCCTCGGCCTCCCAAAGTGCTAGGTTACAGGCGTAAACCACCATGCCTGGCCTAAAATCTGAAAGGTTTTTATCACTAGGCCTAAAATATTCAGATTTTTTTTAAAGCCATGCACACCTAGGGGGCAGATAGAAGCACATAAATTGTTCCCGAGTGAGCGAGCCCAACCCTGTAGGCATCTGCTATATTGTCTTCAAAATACAAAAATGGTCACTGGTGTTTTCTAACAATTCTTAACAAACAAATCTTAACATGTATCTCAATACTAGCATATGGGAGAGTTGAAACTATGGATCTCATCTTTTGAGATGTAAAGGATAATCAAATTTAGGATGATCATGTATAATTTTAAAATCAGAACTTTTCTAAGAACACCTTGAGACCTCAAATATATACTCACAAAGAATGTTGTTCAAGGGAAGAAGTAAAATTTCAGAAAAGATGCAATTTTGTCAACGGTACCATATTACCTGACAGTAACAATGGCTTGGTCATGTCATTAATCCTGAGAAAAATCAAAGCAACCAACAACTAAAGAACTTTATCCATTAAAAATTCTTCACAAAGTCTGTTCCAGAACTTGAATCAAAATAGTAGCGCACACTGGTAGCTCTAAGATCTGGTAAACTTTTTTGACTCATTCATATGTTACATATGTTTGAATATATGGCACAAGGCCAAGATAGTTTTAACTTTAATTGGCTGTCTGCTTTGAGATTTCTATGTTTACACATAATCTTTTATTGCTTGAAAACAATTCTTAATGACACAAACTTGAGGGCATTTTTCCCCCTTGTGTTTTGATGTTTGAAATCAGCAAGACTTTTTCTAAATGTTTCTGTGCATTGCAGCATCATTGGTAGTGTTCGTATCACTTATATAATTTGTTCACTAGCTTTTGCTCCCTCTGCTGGAATGTAAAAGCAAGTAGCAATGAGAATTCCATTTCTAAAAGAGAGAGATATATACTGCCCACGCCCCCACCACCAATCTTTCCGTTTTAAAAACTCATAGAAAATCCATTCTAAAGATAAGACAGTCTAAACTTAAACTAGCATTATTTTACTTTAATTATCCCAACATACGTTTATCCTTCAATTGCATATTATTTTTTATCATTATTTTACAAATGTCAACCTCATTTGTTTTCTCTTTTCTTTGTAAAGACAGAAATAAGCACATTTGCAGTGAATTCCAGAGCTTAATGTTAATATTTCCATAATATGATTGCTCTTGTGGATATGCATTTAAAGCATATTTTCTGTTTAATCTAATTGTGAATAAATCAGAAAGATGAGAACAAAATCTGTATACTGAAACAATTCAAGTTGACTTCACTTATGGAGAACTGGATTTAGAAGGTCCTTGATTAATGACTGTGAGATTCAAAAATTATTGTTATCTGATATCTGAAATCCCTTCCCCCCAAAAGTAAAGAACATAGCAAAATAAACAATTTAATTTATTTGGTGGATAACAAAAACAGTGACAACCAAAATCCTGAGAGAATTGAATAAATGCCAAACTGGCATATAGTTTGTTGCAGCTGTTTCTGCCAATACACATTTAAGTAATAAAATTAGAATGAATTTTAGTTTATTAGAAATATGAAGTTAAAAAAATACAATATTTTCAAGTAATAAAAATAGCTCACTTTGTTCACAGGTGAGTTGCCTAGCCCAACATACTTTAAGGTAGCCATCCAATAAAGGGTGACATATTCTCCTTACACATACACATATTCAGAAACCCTGGGATAAAAATTAGCTACTGAGTCCCCAAGAATTTTGGAAATAAAATGAACAGAAAAATGTCCGCATTTACGTAAGTCACCTAAAATAAGGCTTTCTTGCTGGTCATCCTATTAAAGGGCCAAGAAGACTGTGAATCTATAAATAGATCTGATTACCAACAGAAAGGGTAAACTTTTAAGCGTTTTAGCTTCTGCATTTGGCAGTAACTGATTTTACCCTTAATCTCTGCAGCCTAGCAGCTTCATGGATGTCTATTTTCCATTATGTAAATTTGCTCTTCAGCAATATTTAAGGCATACAATACCAATATAGGCAAGAACTTTAACTACTTACTATGGCTAAAGGATACAAGAGGAAAAAGAAACCCCGAGGTTAAGTACACAATACAAAATGCATATGCTAATGTCGAAACATCTTCAAAGCAACATGCAAATGCAAATTTTAAGCACCAAGAGTTGTCACTTGGCTCCTGAAATCCTCATCTCCTTCATTTGCCCTCAGATTGTGTTCAATTTTAGTTCACAATGTATTTTTTTTTCAGAAAGCCTGTCATAACCCAAAAATTTGGGCTGAGACATTCTATTTTAGAATGCCATTTCTTTCAATCTTACACTTAAATTTACAAGATCAGAACCGAGCATGTTAAATCTACATAAGCTTCAGGGCTAGTTAAGAGAGAATTTAATGCTGCAAAGAGCTCAACTTCCTTATTCCATTATGATCTGCTTACTGAGTCTAAAAGACACATGCTTCATTAACTTACTTAAAGGTTTTAGTTCAAAGCAATTGCACAGCTTTTAACTTCCCATTGGAAACTGCATGTAATTCATGGGCTGGATAAAGTAATATTTCAATTACTTGAGTAAGATGCAAACATAAAATAAATTAAGATACAGATATCTGATATCAATAACTATTGACTTTGGTGATGGTATATAATAGAAAAACTGAATACCATATTTGCCTCTATATATTCCAATACAGCAAGGAAAGTTATAAAAGGAAATTGACAAGGAAACATTTATATTCACCAATACACAGCAATATCAAATAGAGTTTGAAAAATATTGAAGTTAAAAATATATAAATTGTTAAAGCCACCCAATTTCATTTCAAATTCAGTGAGAAGTACAAATGAATATACTGCAAAGAAATATTGTTCTTGTTTTGATGGCAAGTAGCTTGAACACCTGATATTGCTTTGGGACTCTAATTATTTAAGAGAAAGTGCCTTATACATAAGGAAAGATTACCTTTTTACATTTTTCCAATAAAGGTTAATAACAGGCAGTAAGAAGGAAAAAGCTTTAGAAAATGACTGTTGTTCATTAACAGTTCAACTCTAACTCATTATCAAAATGTCCATCTTAAATTATGTATACGTGGCCATGCAAAATTGAATTGGGAGGTAGTGCTTGGTGAATTTGTCCTTCTGTTTCCATGGAAACAGATGCTGGATTGCATTTCTTTAAGGCTAGTTTTAAAGTGGAAAACTACAGTACATTAATACTCCAGAAAGCACAGAACTTAATTTATCTGTTAAATGTATCAGGTTTTTTAAACAGCCGTTATACCATATAACCCATGCAGGGCATCTTTTACTTCTACTGAATTTCTTTACTTGTTTGATTCTCTCTTGCCCTACCCACCTCTGCATCCCTATTTTGGTAGAAAGGCTTAAGAGTAAAGGTCTTTCCTTATTTGACTTTGTATTTTCAACATATAACAAAAGGTTTAGTTTGATATGGTCTGAATGCCTTTATCCAAAATTCATGGTGAAATCTAATCCCCATTGTAGTGGTATTAAGAGGTGCAGCCAAGAGGACCAGTGGCCCAAGAGATAACATGTCTAACTATGAATCAGAAGATTCAAGAGGTGGAGACTTTTAGGAAGTGTGTAAGTCATGAGGGCTTCATCCTTATGAATGGGATTAGTGCCCTTATAAAAGAGGTTGAAGGGAGCTGTCCTGCCCCTTTGTCCATGTGAGGATATATCATTTGCCTCTTTTTCCATATGAGGACTTAGTGACAACATGCCATCCTAGAAGCCTTTATCAGACACTAAATCGGTTGGCACCTTGATCTTGGACTTCCTAATCTCCAGAACTATGACAAATAAATTTATATTATTTATAAATTACCCAATCTAAGGTATTTTGGTATAGCAGCCCTAATGGACTAAGACATAGCTCAAGTTCTTTTTTTATTTTTATTAAATAGAGATGGGTTCTCACTATGTTACTCAGCTGGTCTTGAACTCCTGGACTCAAGCCATACTACTGCCTCAGCCACTTGAATAGCTGTGACCATGGGCACCTGCCAACACACTCAGCTTCATGCTCTTAGTTATTTAATAAAAACATTTTGAATGATTAAAATATAATAAAATCATCTATTTCTCCTTCTAGTTATAAGAAAAAGTGAGCCTTAGTGTTGGACTAGCACGTAATTTATCCTAACTTCAATAGTTAACTAGCTGTGTGACCTATAGGCCAAGCACATAAACTTTCTGTGTGTCAGTTTCCTTATTAACCCTGCGATAATAAAATCCAAGTCATGAAAGTTGTTCTAATTTCTACGTAATTCATCTAAAGCACCTAGAATAACTGTTGGCATAGGAAATCAATAAATGGTAGATATAATAAGTGTAACTACTGGTAGGCTACTATTCTTGCCAGGCATTGGGCTAGATGTTTTATGTCTTCAGTCATCACTATAACCCAGTATTATTATCTTTATTCTGTTGACAGAGGTAGTAGAGAGGATACTTAATGCCACTCAAAATGAAAGCTGTAAGGCTAGGATTTGAACCCTCCTATGCTTGACTTCAGGGGCTGGAATGTTTTCAATACACCATACTGCCTCTTTTAGATGCTATGAAAGGCTCAATTCCTCTCTTTAAAATCTTTTCCTAAAGTATTTCTACAGATTAAAATATGGTCACCTGATCCATTTAGAAGATAGCTAATTTGAAATCAGTAGTTTGTACAAAGGAATTTGCCCACACTATATTTTATTTTTACATTTTAGAAAGTGAATTAGGTTTCCTTGATATAGTGCAGGACAGCATAAAATTGGATTTTTAACTTGGAACTAAACATCTAATTCTGTTACAGAGCCCTGAGTCTTTCTCAGGAGTCACCTTGGTGGCCCCAGAGGATTTCCAAAAGTCCTCTTTGCTCATTTCTGTCCTGTTATAGCCCTTGGTCATTCCTCCTTTTAGAAAAGGGAATCGATGTTTACTAATGATTTGGGTCCACTGACAACAGTGACAGAAACATTTTATAAGAAGAACAGAAAAACTCCTTTCTTCTGAGGATATAGTCAGGTTCATGAATGTTCAAACAAATTTTCAATAAAGTGATAAGGGTATTAAATATTTTATCAGAGATCTTCAGTGATTTGTAATAACTAACATGCAAAGACTATTCTATTTTAAAAAGCACTGTAGTATATTTTCTGCATTAAATATAAATCCCTGTGAGATCAGTGCCAACATGAGGATGTTACACATTTGAAAATGATAGCAACAATACCTCCTTCTCCAATAAAAACAAACAAAAAAATACTTTGAGGTACGGGACTAAGTGACTAGTCTAAAGTCATACACTTAGAAAGTGGTAAAATCAATGCTATTACACATGAAATTTTTCACTACATTATTCAGATGAAAGTTAAATATATGTAAATCAAGCTCTATAGAGAGATATTTACATGGCTAATGAGGAAGTGGAGACTTGGACAATAAGGCATGAATATGGCACTTAAATCAGTCATTAAAAACGATTCAGCTAGGGTTCCAGTCACCTCAAGTATTTTTTTCTTTCATTTTTTCTAGTTAATTGTAAGTAAGATATGTTTATAAAGTTACAGAGCATTAAGGCAGATGACCCAAAAAAGTATTAGATTAAACCATATACATTTTCAGATATTCTACCATTATGGTCTACAACAATGGCATTTTAAATCTAAGAATATGTTTACTTGATAATTATTTCCTAAGTGCATATTTATTGCTTTTATTTTTGTTGTCGTTGGAGTCTCACTCTGTCGCCCAGGCTGGAGTGCAATGGCGCGATCTCGGCTCATTGCAAGCTCCACCTCCTGGGTGCACACCATTCTCCTGCCTCAGCCTCCCGAGTAGCTGGGACTACAGGTGCCTGCCACCACGCCTGGCTAAGTTTTTTTTTGTATTTTTAGTAGAGACGGGGTTTCACTGTGTTAGCCAGGATGGTGTCGATCTCCTGGCCTCATGATCCGCCTGCCTTGGCCTCCCGAAGTGCTGGGATTACAGTCGTGAACCACTGCTCCCGGCCTATTTATTGCTCTTGAAATGCTTTAATCACAACCAATATTAAGGTAGCTTTGATTCCTATTCAGTGGAAAATTATCAATATGGAGGATATAATTCATAAAGGAAATATAATTCTTGTTTTGACCAATTGAGATATATATGCTATATAGGAATATATTATATATAATCATCAATCTATGAGATGAATACAGGAATATATTATATATAATTATCTATAGTATGAATATATTATATATTATACATACATTATATACAGTTTGTATAGTTATAATGAAGTCATTTTTGTATTTCAAGATAAAATAGATATGTAGAAAAGAATGGTGCAGATCAATGGTTCTCAGAGTGTCTACAACGTCAATACCACTTTTGTTATAGTACCAAGATATTACTTGCAGTTTTCACTTTCACATTCTCCTGAGTGTATAAGAGTTTTCTAGAGGCTATTGTAATAGACTGCCTTGTATTGCAGCAATAGATGGAATACCGAAGCACATATGACAATCCAGCTATCTTCTATTAAGCCAGACATTAATGCAATTTACAAAAATACAATCAATGGTACTCTCTTATCATTACTTGATTTTGCTTGGAAAAAATATATTAACTTTTCAAAAATATGTTACTTACATTAACATGTAATTGTTTATTATATAACGTTTAATTAGTAAAAAATGGGTTTTAAAGTTCTCAGTTTTAATTTAAATACAGTAAATATTAATAACAGTTGTAACCCACATGAACAAAAGGTGTTTGGGGTACACAGTAAATTTTAAGAACGTAAATGACCAAAAGCTTTAGAACTGTTAAAAAAATTTTTTTTTTGTTCAATGTTAAAATTTCTGCTCATTTTTATGATTCCTTATGATGAAGACTTCATGGTCCTTGAAATATGAGAAGTTGTTTAAAACAGATCTAATTAAAAATCCCTTACAGCATTTTCATAACATAAAAAATACTGAGCTCCTTAGAAATTGCTCCATTTGCAAAATATATTTATAACTTAACCAAAATAAATAATTCATACCTCACCAAGTGAGTAATAACGTCTTGGGATCTGGGAGTCCGGATAGATGTTTTCTAGGTACCAAGAAAAGGGCTTACACTTCAGATTTTCTCTTAGTGTTTTTCTGACTGACACATCTCCATAATCCACTTTGACAACACCTGGAATTTTTCAGAGAAACACAAATCAGTTTGTGCTATTTTTGTTTTAGTACTGTTTTACTACATTTACTTTGCTATCAGTTTTCTTCTTCATAATTCCAGCAAATTCAATTGCATATGCAGCTGCTACTCCACTGGATTTTTACTACCATCGAATTAGTACATTAAATAGATATAAATAACACTTCTCCCATTGGTTATGACTTTTCAAATACAAATATTTATCACCAAGTACTTGTACTACTTAGATTGAATAATTAATTAACTAAATGTAAATTGGTATTTAGTATCTCATAATCAAAGCTTAACTGAGCTGTGTAATATGTCTGTTTCTCCTTAATAAAAAATTCTAGTAGTGCCAATGTTTTTGTTAATATTCACACTTTCCCTATAGAGTCACTTATTCACCACCTGTAGATTTTATACGAAATTTATATAGAATAATTCACGTAATAGACTGTACATATGTTCTTTTTCTTGAACTTCTATCTAGTTACCATAAACTTAATTTTTATTGATTTATTGAGTTATTCTAAGCTACCATTGTCCTTGAAAAAGTTAGCAAATATCTAAGTGTAAAGAAACTAACAAACAAATGAACAGAAATATATTCACATGTATATATGAAAAATGATTAATTTTATTTCACATAATAGAATATTTGATATTTAAATGAATATTTCCACTGAAAATCAGAAAAGAATGTTTTCTAGTTGAGGAATAATAATGCTACTAATTTTTATAAAAAATTTTACGACAACTTGGTTTGCTCAATATTAATATTGGCATTTGATTGAAATAAGTAATAACTGTGACAAGACAGCAATTATTCTTAGAATATTCTGAAAATATTTCAATGTTTAACTTTCTTCTTTAAGGCCACTATGCAACATGCTGGCACAAAATGGCCTAGTATTTAGGATATTCTATCCCAACCAAGTAACAAAGCCAGCCAATTGTTGTCTAAAATAGAGCAAGTGTTTAGACAATCTAAATGTCTTTAACTAATGCCATTACCAAGCCACTATTTTCCAAAGCAGCAACACTCAAAACTCATCATTCACTAGCTCCGACCTTCTTGTCTCTTCAGAACTTTTGTTTTTTCAAAATTAAATGCCATAGTGTTATTAGAAAGCATTCTGATGCTGAAGCAGCCAAACCATTTCCTTCCAAGAGAAAATATTGATTTTCCTAGCTGGTGTTTGGGCAGAAAAAACAAGGTCTTTGGGCTTTTTAAACAGATAAATATTTGCTTTCGAAATAATTCTATTCAGAACTTCCAATCCGGAATGCAACCTTCAAAATAAGAAGCTCAAAACAATTTAGTATTTACAAAAATAAATCACTAGAAGAATTTCTCATTATGTTAAGTATTATTACAGTTGAAATAATTGAATACATTTTCCTCAAAATCATATAAAGAGATGACATTGTGCCTGGTGGGGAGGCAAAACACTGTATCTTCAGAGGACTTAATTCAATAGTCAATTTTACTGTTCTGTTTTCATTTTTGAGGTGGGTGGATTTAATTGAGGTGGCTTATTTAATATCAACATCCTCCCTTTTTCATCATGTTAAGATTTGGTAGTTCTGGCTCCATAACATCTTCCTAGAAGGGTTTCTTTGTGCATGTGTTTTCCAATAAAACTTTATTTATGGACAATGAAATATGAATTTCACATAATTTTCACGTCATGAAATACTATTCTTTTGACTTTTCCTCAAGTACTTAAAATCAGATCTTGGGTCATTAAAAAATGGACAGTGAGCTGGTTCTGGCACATGGGTCACAGTGGCCAACCTCTGCTCTAAAAGATAAAGTCCTAGAAGGTTTTTCTGAGCAGTTATCTGATTGAAATGAAAATTTAAAGTTTCATTTGCATACCTTTTTTTTTTTTTTTTTTTTTTTTTTTGAGACGGAGTCTCGCTCTGTCGCCCAGGCTGGAGTGCAGTGGCGCAATCTCGGCTCACTGCAAGCTCCGCCTCCCGGGTTCACGCCATTCTCCTGCCTCAGCCTCCCAAGTAGCTGGGACTACAGGCGCCCGCCACTACGCCCGGCTAATTTTTTGTATTTTTAGTAGAGACGGGGTTTCACCGTTTTAGCCGGGATGGTCTCGATCTCCTGACCTCGTGATCCGCCCGCCTCGGCCTCCCAAAGTGCTGGGATTACAGGCGTGAGCCACCGCGCCCGGCCTTGCATACCATTTTATATGAGGTCAGAGAAAACATTAATTGTCCACTTCAGATTTGGCAAAAAGTGGCTAATGGGGAATTATAGAGATTACTGAATAAAGCAAAAGCCTTCTTATCCTGCCACCTCTAAGCCGCCCCCTGGCATTTCCACTGCAACTTGCTTTTGTTCTAATCCTAGATAATTATGCTAAATTACCTTTAGAAATGTACAAAAAAATATGGTGGGCTATCTTAACATTTTGGTGAGAATGGCTTTTTCTCTCTGAATCCATGTTTTTCTTCTTAGAAGTGAGACATATTAAGAGACAACAGTCCTCACAAACACTCCATGTACTCCTCCACATTTCTCAGGTCCCTGCAGTTAGGTAAGGACATCTAACTGGTCCTGGCCAACAAACTGTGAGAGAAAGGGGTTATGTCACTTCTGATTTTAAAGATAGGAAAGCAAGTATGAGAGCTTTCTTTTCCTTTGCCACAGGGACTGAGGAGGACTTGTATCCCAGTGGGTGCAGCTACAAGATGGAGAGACTTTTCTTGTGCTGTATGATTTAGTGACTGTAGAGCCTGAATTAGATTATTCAGATCCATGGTTTGATATGTAATCTTACTTGTTCCCCAAACTCTTATCTGCAACTCAAACCTCTTCAAAGTAGGTTATCCAATTGTTTACCCAATAATTTTACTGGGATCTATACTAAGCATCTCAAATTTGACAAGTCAAAAATTTGTTTCTCCAACTTGCTCCATCTCCAAGGTTCTTCATTTCAGTATCTAGCACAAATATCCACTGATTTTCTCAAGGAAAAACAAATAATTTTCTTTCTCTCGCACATATACATTTTTAACTCATTAGGAATTCCTGTTGGCTCTACTTCACAATATATCCTCAGCCACTCTACTGTTACCATCCTGGTCCTAACTTCTCCTATCTCTTGCTTACACTAGCATTGCAATAGTCTCCTAACTAGCCCCAAAACATTTTACATTCCTCTACCTATATTTTATTCACTATTGCCTGTTCCTTAGTCAATATATTTAAAATACAAATCAAATCATGTTACTCCCCTGACCAAAAGTGTACCGTGATTTTCCATAACACTAAGAATAATTGAATCTGTCTTAACCATTGCCTGAAGATCCTTTAGAAAATAGCTCTTGGCTGGCTTTTTGAATTCATTTATACTCACTTTGAAACCAGCCCAATTGTCCCACAGAAGTGATGTTTATGGTTTCTTTTGAATAAACATGAAAGAATGGCCCTCCTGGTCTTGAAACTTGAGAAAATTACATTTGTCTCATCTAAGTTCCTTTCTCAGGAAACCAACCAGATAATATAAAGGAACTGAAACTTACCAGATCACCGCATCTGGACAGTGAGACACCAGACCCCCTCACCTGTCATGATTGCCTAACCACCTGTTTCTTGTTGATCAATTCCTCTTCCTTATCCCTAATTCCTAGTTTCCCATACATGGTTACATTTCTTCCCTGCTACATCAACCCCTAATTTTGGTCAGTTGAAGAGATGAATTTGAGACTGATTTCCCATCTCCTTGGCTGCAGCAACCTATTAAAGCCTTCTTCCCTGTAAATACTGGTTGTCTTGGTGATTGACTTCCAGTGCAGCAAGCAGCAGGACACAGACAGAACCCCTGTGTTTCAGTAACATCTTCATTCTAGCCCCACTTTTTTTCATTCTTTACATTTCTTCAAACATCCCACGTTCATTCATAATTCAACAATTCAAGGCTTTATACTTCTTTTTTTCTGTCTGTAATGGTGTTACCCTGCAACTTTCATGAGTTGTTCTTTACTTGGTCCAAGTCTTTGCTGAAAATTTACTTCTTCAGGTTTATTCTGACCTTCCTATCAAAATTGATCACTTTCTCTCATCTTCCTAGGTCTGTCTTTATCCCTCTATCGTGCTTAATTTTTTTCCATGGCACTTATTACTATCTGATATCATATTTCAGATCACTTTGCTCACTGCCTTCTCAACAAAAACTTTGGATGATGAGTTATCTTTTTTGAAGGATAAGGTATCCTACCTGATAATATCTTACAAGATATTGTGACTACTAAATAAATAATGCCTGGAAAAGGTTTAGTACAATGACTGGAATATAATAATTGCTTAATACACATCATATATTGCATTGGATAGCTGTTGTTTTGCACGCCTGACATCCATTCTGCCCTCTGGTAAAAGCACTTGAGTTTCTCTGGGAAACCACTCCCACTTCACTTTCAGCTTGGATGGGGCTGGTTTCATTGCCTTCCCCACTCTTCCAGTTCCATCTGTGAGCACAGACTAAAGGCACATCACCAGAAAATCTAGTTAATATGCAATTTGATTCAGTTGGTCTGGAGTGGGGGCCTTAGGGTCCATATTTCTAACAAGCTCCAAGGGATCCTGCTTTTGCTCAGTCCAGATTTTGATTAGCACCCAAAATAACTAGAGCATTCTATTTCAATTCCTTACATATAACCCAGATAACAATGACTGACTCAGGAATGGGCAAATAAACCAGTCAGCCTAATAAAAGCATACCCTTGAGAATACACTAGGGCTATTAGAAAGTTGAAACTCTATTTCCTCTGGAACTGGGTAGCTGTATAGATGAGTTAAGCCTGGAGTTTTTGGGGCTACCATACAACAAAGGCCTATGAAAGTGACACCAATATAGAAGTAAGATAAATCCACATATGGAAAGATATAGAGTGTGAGCGTAAAAGAGAAGACTATCTAAAGATAGACAGCAGAGGCCAAGCCAAGATTAAGGTAACAGATATTTACTGTGGTCAAGCTCTGTACAAGGGACTTTTCTAGGCACTTGGGATATATCTGTGAACAAAACAAAATTATCTTCCTCCATGGAGTTTATATTCTACTGGAGAAAGACCTAAATAAACAGTAAATACATTAGAAGGTGACACACGCTGTGGCAAAAATTTATAAGTTTTTAAGGCAAGTCTTTCAATGGAACTTGCAAAAGCCATGTAAAGGCTTTGACAATGAAATAAAGATGCATAATGAGTACCAACAAAAGAGTATTTTAATTAATTCCAGGTTTGCAGGTTTCATTAATAGGTAAATGATAAAATTTATGGGCTCCTATTTTTTTTAAATAAGCTGTCTTTTCATGGAATCCAGCTAAATGTCCATCAATGATAGACTAGATAAAGCAAATGTGGTATATATACACCATGGAATACTATGCAGCCATAAAAAAGAACGAGATCATGTCCTTTGCAGGGACATGGATGGAGCTGGAAGCCATTATCCTTAGCAAACTAATACAGGAACAGAAAACCACATACCACGTGCTCTCACTTATAAGTGGGAGTTAACTCATGAGGACATGTGGACACATAGAGGGGAACAATACACACTGTAGTCTATTGGAGGATGGAGGGTGGGAGGAGAAAGAGTATCAGGAAAAATAACTAATGGGTACTAGGGTTAATACCCAGGTGATAAAATAATCTGTACAACAAACCTCCTTGACACAAGTTTACTCATGTAACAAATCTGTACATGCACCCTGAATTTAAGTATAAAAAAATCTGTCTTTTATTCATAGTAAGTCTATTGCATTATAGTATTAAATTCACTCTTTAGAGAAATCATGTTTTAAATTTTAAATAGATATTAGATGGAAGATCATAATGACACTGGCTCAACTGTCCCATAGAACTGATATTTATGATTTTTTTATATAAACATAGAAATTCACCCTCTCAGTCTTAAAACTTGAGAAAATTGTATTTGTCTTATCCAAGTTCCTTTCTTAGGAAATCAACTATCAGGCCACCCAGACATTTTGAAGGAACTGAAACTTACCAGATCACTGCATCTGGACAGTGAGACACCAGACCCCCTCACCCATCATGACTGCCTAAACCAACCAACTGCTTCCTGTTGACCAGCTCCTCTTTAATACCCCTCACTAATTCCTGTTTTCCCTACACATAATTACATTTTTTTTGCTGCTATATAAACCTCTAATTTTAGTCAATTGAGGATATGGATTTGAGACTGCTCTCTTGTCTCCCTGGTTGCAGCACCCAGTTAAAGCCTTCTTCCCTGGCAATACTCATTGTCTCAGGGATTGGACTTCTGTGAGGCAAGCAATGGGCCTTAGACCAAACCCCTGGCATTTCAATGATAATAATTATTTCAGTTAAATTCTTCCCCTAATAGATGTCTAGTAAGTCTAATAGTTCTGTCTCTCTAAAATCAAAGTACCTGAAGAAAGAATACCCTAATGCATGCCAAAGCTTACAATTTCATGCACAAGAATACATATTGCAGCATAACTTAAAAGGGAAATTATTTTTATTCAATAAACAATGCTTAAGTGGCCACTGTGGCTCATGCCTATAATCCCAGCAATTTTGGAGGCCGAGGTGGGCAGATCACTTGAGGCCAGGAGTTCAACACCAGCGTGGCCAAGATGGTGATACCCTGTCTCTACTAAAAACACCAAAAAATTAGCTGGCCAGTTGTGGTGGGTGCCTGTAATCCCAGCTACTTGGGAGGCTGAGGCAGGAGTATCACTTGAACCCGGGAGGTGGAGGTTGCAGTGAGCCGAGATGGCACCACTGTTCTCCAGCCTGGGTGACAGAGCGAGACCACATCTCAAAAAACCACCCCCCCAAAAACAAAAACAAAACAAAACAAAAAGAATGCTTAAGCAAATCAAAGTTATATCTGGTTGACAAAATACAACTCTCGTATTAAAATAATTATG
Source organism: Homo sapiens (assembly GCF_000001405.40). Lineage (NCBI taxonomy): Eukaryota > Metazoa > Chordata > Mammalia > Primates > Hominidae > Homo > Homo sapiens. Next base: position 154,389,043 of record NC_000002.12, on the reverse strand, counting down.
TCTATGTAAGAATATGGAAAAATGTTAAGCCACATGAATGTTTATTATACAGCTATTGTAATTAAAATATATGAAATAATAAAAAATTGAGATAAAGCTCCTTTTTACCTTTAACAGTCAAAACTATGCAGTTGATTATAAAGTTTGTTATGTATGTCATATTAATGATATATATTCACATTACAGGAGTAGACCAGTATATACAGTTTAAGCTAATAATTTTTTTGTGATATTTTCTAAATTCCAAATAGAAAGTGGACTTTATTTTGTTATTTACTCTCAGTAATTGTAATTATGAACTTCATGAATAAGAATCTGCATTTTTCTCCTTTTTAAAATAATATAATAATAAGCCATTGTTAATCCAGCTAGCAATTATTGTATTCTATTGCATCTAAATACCAAATTGTAAATGGTATTGGGAAAGCTGGAGATCCACATGCAAAAGAAGAAATTAGATCTTATTCTTATCTTATACCAAATATAAAAATCAAATCAAAATGGATTAAAATTTTAAATTTAAGATCTGAAACTGTAAAAGTACTAAAACACAGGAGAAATAGTCCATATTTGTCTGGACAAAAATTGTTTGATTTGACTGTAAATGCACAAGCAACAAAAGCAAAAATGGACAAGTTTGATGGTTTCCAACTAAAAAGCTTCTGCACAGCAAAGGAAACAATTAACAAAGTGAAGAGAAAGCCTACAAATGTAAGCCATGGATCTGATAAGGGATTAAAATCTGAAATACATGAGGAACTCAACTCAAAAACAAGAGAACACCTGATTAAAAATGGGCAAAGGTCGTGAACAAACATTTCTCAAAAGAAGACATTCAAATGGCCCATAAACACATGAAATAAATGCTTACATCACTAATCATTAGGAAAGTGCAAATTAAAGCCACAATAAGGTATCGTCTCGCACCTGTTAGAGTGACTTTTATCAGAAATATAAAAGACACATGTTGGAGAGGATGTGGAGAAATGGGAATTCTTAGATATTGTTGATGGAAATATAAATTAGTACAGCCATTATAAAAGTGGTATGGAGCTTCCTTGTAAAACTAAAAATAGAACTACCACATGACACTGTAATTCCTCTTCTGAGTTTATATAAAGGAAATGAAATCAATATGTCAAAGGGATATCTGCACTCGCTTGTTCACTGCAGCATTATTCACAATAGCCAAGAAATGGGATCAACCTAAATGTATATCAACAGATGAACAGATAAAGAGAGTGTTGTATTCTATGCAATGAAGCACTATTTAGCCTTAAAAAGGAAGAAAATCCCATCATTTTGACAACATGAATGAAGCTGAAGGACATTATGCTAAGTGAAATAAACCAGGCACAGAAAAACAAATACCACATGACCTCACTTATGTGTAGATTCTAATACAGTTGTACTCACAGAAGTAGAGAATAGAATGATGGTTACCACAGGCTACAGGCATGAGGAGGGAGGAATGAGGAGTTATTAATCAAAGACTATAAAATTTCAGATAGGAGAAACACGTTTTGGGATCTATTGCTCATCAGGTGACTATAGTCAACAACGATGCATTGTGTATTTTCAAATAACTAGGACATTATCACTAAAAATAATAGGTAAGCAAGGTTATGGCTATGTTAATTAGCTTGATTTATTTATTCCATACTGTTTGTGTCTGTATGTGTAATCTCAAAACATCACATTGTGCCTTATGATTACTGTTAAAACTTGTCAATTAAAAATATGAATAAGCCTGTAAGTACATAAATGATACTGTATTGTTTCAGAGGTTTAGGCGATTTCTTGGAATTATCATTGTTGTTTTTAAATTTAAAACTATTCCCTTAATCTACCTTTTTATCTATTCCCTATGTCCATACAAATTACCCAGGCTCATAAGTTCTCATTAGCATGTCAGTGGACAGAACTACATTAACTGGCTGATTGACTATTCCAACTAATAATACATAGTGATTATGTGTTGAATTTATCATTTACTATTATTACCACAATTTTATTTTAATGGAGTAAAAATGAGATAATGAATTTTACAAAATCATAGCTTCTGCACAGAGCTGTCACACAGGAAGAGGATTATCAGACAACTTTCAATTTATTTAACTCTAATATCCACAGTCAAAAGTTACAGCAGGTCTTGAGGCTGAGTTTTCTAGGCAATTACCTCAAACTTCAGATCAGTGTGACAATAAAGATCTCATATTCAAATGCTTGGTCCAAGATCATTGAGAATATGGGAAATAAGAAAAGTGAGTATTTGCAGTAGTCTTTTAAAATAAAAGAACAATTTGATATCCATTGAGACAAACACAGACTGAACAGTCTGCAGGCTATCAAAATTTTATCTAGAATTAACTCAGTCTAATATATAGCTGTATATTTCAGCATTATCTTGACCCCTATCAAGTCTAAATGAGGATTTGGAATTATGATATTGGTTTTCATTTGAAACTGGTCCAATTGTCCCACAGAACTGATGCTTATCATTTCTTTTGAATAAGCATAAAAACTGACCCTCCCAGTCTTGAAACTTGAGAAAGTTATATTTGTCTTATCTGAGTACTTTCTCAGGAAACCAACCATCAGGCCACCCAGATAGTATCAAGGAACTGAAACTTACCAGATCACCACATATGGACAATGAGATTACAGACCACTGACCCATCATGATTGCCTTACTTACCACCTGCTTCCTTTGGATCAACTCCACTTCTTTACTCCTCCCTTATTCTGTTTTCCCACACATGGTTACATTTTTTTCCCCTGCTATATAAACCCCTAATTTTAGTCAGTTGAGGAGATGAATTTGAGACTATCTCCCATCTCCTCAGCTGCATCACTGATTTCAAGTCTTCTTCCCTGGCAATACTCATCGTCTTGGTGATTGAATTTCTGTGCAGCAACCAGCAGGACCTAAGACTGAATTTCTGGTGTCTTGGTAAGATATTGAGAGTCAGTACAAAAAAAAATAGTGACACCAAACTTGTTATTGTACCAGCATTTTGTGTTATGCTGAGGCCTTTGACTATCTTATCATACATGTTGTTGCTATTGTTTTGCATTTTGTTTTTATTAGAAATCTCAAGAGTAATTTCTTTTGTGGACTCAGAAGCAGGAAAAGCTGTGTTTTTCCTTAGCAACTGACTTCCTATATCTGACAAATATTGCTAACTTTATAATTGATGAGGTATCCCTCTATGTTCTTCCCATGTATCATAAGAATTTAGAATGTAGAAAGCCATATTGGACCATTATTGAAAGAGGACACTCATCTATCCCTCCATGGAGTAGTATGGTTTAGTTAGGCACCGGAAGTACTGGAACAACAGATAAACTATTACTTAAGGGACTTCATGTTCCCGACTACATAGTAAGCACTTTTGGATACACATTCTCATTAAGTCTATATAGCATTTTTATCTATTATTATTGTTACTTGTTTTAAGGATGAAAGAATTAAGACTTTGAATGGTTAAATAACTTTATTAAGTATACTTAGAAAATAGCAGAAGTAGGGTCAAATGTTGTTCACTTTTATCTAATATCAAAATCCATGCTCTTGTTCACTCTACTAGAATGGGTCATGAAACTGGAGGAAGTTTGAAAAACCTATAAAGGGAAATATTTTCCTGGGTACAGAACATGGTAATTATCATCCCTTGAATGATAGGACTCACGTTGCAAATTCTCCCTGACCTAACATCAGTGTGATTGATCCAAGATCCCAAACTTGAATTCATATATAATGAGTTACTTTATTGATCTGACAATTAAATACAAGCCAGAAGATTTCAGTGTGCAATTGACTGACAAACGAAAATATTTCCTAAAGTGCTTTAAAATTATGCCCCATCCATCACTAGTGCTGCAGGAAGCTAGTTAGATATAACTGTTTCTTCAGTTATATGCCACATACTATCTTATTTGAACCTTTCTGAAATAGTGCTATGTTTTATAATCAATGATATCTTACCATTGCTGTTGGTGAGAAAGCAACTTTATTGTAGTCGTCACTGCTTTAGCATGTGCAAATATGTTTTCCCATCTCTAAAATCAGTAGCCAACTGCAGTTTCAGTAGATAATTATGGCCATTTAAATTAGGGGACATTTTAATGCATCTTAATTGTTGTTTGAAAAAGCTTCCTTTGATCCCTTCTGGTAAAATAAAAAAGTACCAAGATAAAAATTTCCTGAATGGTTTCAGGGACTTGAAAGAATATCCTCGGCATAATACTGAATCATGATTTTAAGATAGCCTGGATTGTCAATCTTCTTAATGGCACTGAGAATGACAGTGGGTAGGAAACACATGAACATCAGTTAATTTGCATTGAAAAGTGATTCAAAAGAGTCATCCTGCAAATATAAAGCTGCTTGATCAATTCCTTTGCTTATATTTTTATGTATATACATGAATGACATATGATTTAAAAGCTGGTTTTGAATTAGTTATGTCTAAAAGAGTTCCTTTAATAGGGACAAAGTAATTCTAGGTAAAAAGGAAGTTTTGCATTATAGTTTAAACAATTTTTTCTTAGAGATATATTATATAATGGTGATCTTTCAATTGATGGCAGTCTAAATTAGATGAAATATATTTATTCTTTAATTATTTACAATCTGCTTATATTTTAATGGAAAGAATGGGTAAAACAAAGTTAAATAGGTGTCTTTATTTATTATGGTAAAGTGCATCATGAATAACCAAAGGCATTCACATTTTCTAGATTCATTTTCCGCTTTCCAGAATTTGAGACAACAGTGCTCCACTGAAAATATTTTGAGAAACACAGCTTTGTTGTATTTTCTATATTTAACCAAAAATATTAGTCACTAGCAAAACATAAATTGATCCCATTAGAGAAAAATCTTTTTGAACAAAACATAATTCCTTCCATGTACTTTTCAAATTCTTCCATTAACAAGTTTTAATCACAAATTTTTAATGAAACCAAGACAATGGTAGCAAACACATATTTGCTGATATGTGTATTTACATTCAGTTCCTAAAACAGTACCTGGTGTCAGTAGACATTCTCTAAATATTAGCTGAACTACTATTTGCAGAGCTCTGTCATGTGCCCTCTCTTCTGTCTTATTCTCTCTCTCTCTCTGACACACATATATATGTATGTTTTAGAAATATATCTCTATATATTTGCTTTTATGTCTTAGAATTACTACCTACACTTACTAAAAAGTGATTTGGACTTATTCAGATATATATTTTATATTACTCTTGTATATAGATATAGCTATATAGATAGCAATAAGTTTATGAAAAATCGGCTTCAAAGTATTAGTTGGCCTCATTGATAAAAGAATATCATAACAGTAATATTTTAATATTTATTAAAGTGCATTGGTCTAGTCTGTATTTAGTCAGCATTCTGTTTTGCAAAGCAGTTAAGAAAATCTAATTATGTTTTAAAATTATGAGTTAGTAAAGAAAAAACACAGTATGACCCAGGAAGACTACTGTGAATTGTTGTTACAATTTAGTAACTCAAGGAGCATCTGAGATTATATTATGGAACATGTTAACTCAAACCAAGGAAATAAATAACTATGAATAGTCAATTGTTGACTATCTAGGCAGACTGTAAACATAGGGCATATAATTTTTTTTTCAGCAGGAATGTTCTTTATGACATCTAAAGATTTCTATTTATACAGCAGTGCTAATAATAGCACCTTTTACTGAGTGCTACTATGATTATGAAATGAGTTAACATATAAAACACTCAAACAGTGCATCATGCATAGTAAATACTCACTAAATGTTACCCATTATGTCTGTTGTTTTCTTGTGTATATGCACCTCAGGAGGTACATCATCTCCTAACAGAAGAGTAGGCTAGCCTATTTTCTGGGATTGTGTACTTCTGTTGTATACCAGATGAACGAAGTGGGAAATCAACCACTTACTCTGGCTCAGATGTCTTTTCAATGAGCAGCATACTATACCTCACCTCCAGTGTGTCTCAGAATCGCACTCTTAGAGGTATCATTTAAGGTCTTGGCCCGTGGATTTTTCTAACCCCAAAGTACTAATAAACATGAAACTGATGCTCCCCACCTCTCTGCACTTGCCATTTCTCCTATCTACATTTCTGTACCAGGGTGATTTTGACACAAATGCCACACAGTAACAAAGAAAAACACAAATTCCATAACCACAGTCTCTCAGTTAAGACACACTACTAAGAACAGTAGAAACTTATATTTAAAAAAAAAAAACGTTTTAAGAGAACATGTTATTTGTGGATTGAAAGAACAATTGTAAAAAGTATTCATGGCCTCAACTGTCAACCAATTTTCCCCTTCTGTCCTAAACTACTATAAATGAGTAAGCTGGAAAAGGCTACAGGAGAATCATTAGTTACCCGCAGGACACTGTGCACTGTTAACTGTGGAACAATCTATGAGGAAAATTTCAATAACCATGAGTTTGACATATGACTTCAGGGAATGGTAGAGTAACATACTGCTCCTGGGTTTCCCATGCAGTATTTATCTTCTTCTAGCACTGGTCATGTCAAAGAATTGATACTGAAAACAATGCAGAGTTATTTATTGCATACATAAGATACACTTCAAAAACTGAACTTAACACTGCTTGGTATGAGAACTTCTCAGTAATCACTAAATAAGGGTAACATTCAGTCATGATGAAAGCAGGCCAAGCATGTCAGCTGTACTATTGTGATGCTAAAATATTCTTCTACATAATAGTCTAGTTCTCTGTTACATAGAGAATTCTAACATGCCTCTCTTCTTTTTTAGAGCTTTATATTTGTTTCAAGATATCATTGGTCTAGGACTATGCTACCATTTAATTTAACAAACCCTCTGTGTCCATAGAGGGGATTGGGCAGCTGAAGGGGAAGGCAGGATGCCAACATCTTGAAAGGAAACAACATGTGTGTAATGTAGTTTGTTTTCTGGTGAGGTTTTCATTTGTCTAGGGGAAAGGAAAACATTTTGAATTATATCATAGCTGTGGCATTCAAATGCACAAACTCTGAAGAGCATCAGGAGTGTTTCTTAAAATATATGTAATTTACAAATGTTGATTTAAGCTTCTCACATTACTTCTCTTATCCTCTAAATTTGCCTGTTGCAAACTGTTTGGGCATATCTCAAAATCACTGGTCAAAAGATGAAGGCAGCAGCTGCCAAAAGATTCTGGGGAAAAAATTTCAATACAATAAAAATGTAACTATTAACAACAGTATAAAATCAAAAAATTGCATCAAAGTTCCAACCATTTGCATTAGAAAATGACCTTTCACACATGAATAACCTGAGGCTTGGAAATATGATTGGACTTGGGTGAAACAGAACAGCTAGTAAGTGAAAGAACCCACATTGGAAACTAGGTTTCCTGACTTCCAGGTTAGTGTCCTTAACCTCTGTTCCTTCCCTCACGTTTTGTTGTGCATCTTATGTTACACACTGTCCTAGGTGATGGGGATACAATGTTCCACAAAACCTCTATACAGTTTCTTTCCTCATCAGCTTAATCAGGATTTAATAAGATAGCCCACACAAAAATTAACAAATGTGAGATTACAAGTGTATTTGAGAGATGTACAGAGAATAAATGCAAAGAATAGGCAACTGATTCACTGGTGGTCAGGAAGGGGTGGTCAGGGAAGTCTTCTCTGAGGAAAGTGATCTTTGAGCTGAGATATAAAGGTAGGGGAAATGAGATAGAGAAGAGTGGGTGAGCATTACAGAAAGTGCCTCCTGGTTTAATTGTTTGGGAATTTATTGATAAAAAGTGGTTTTTATTTGGCTATTTCCAAGGATTGTTTACTTGTTTGGTTCCACATTATTTTCTGTAGCAAAGAGACTCTAAAAAGGCTATTACCCCTACTTCCTGATATTTATGTCTAGGTGTGACCCCTTGCCCTTGAGTGTAGGTAGAACCTATGACTTGCTTCTAATCCAGAAAATAGGACAAAAATGATGAGGTGTCACTTTGATGATTATATTACATCTTGTTAGCAGGAACTCTATTTACTCTCTGCATTTCTGGCATTGGTGAAGCAAACTGCCATGTTGTAGGCTGCCTTATGGAGAGGGCCACATAAGAAAATGCTGGCAAACAGACAAGAAACTAAAGGTTTCAGCCTGACAATCTCCAAGGAACTAAATTCTGACATGTAAAATTGGAAGCAGATTCTTCCCCAGTTGAGCCATGAGATGAGATTGCAGCCCCCATCAACACATTAATTGCAGGCATGTGAGAGACCCTGAAGCAGAGGCCCCAGCTAGGCCATCCCTAGACTCTTGAGAAATAATAAATATGTCTGGATTTCAGCCACCAAGTTCGTGGCAATTTAGTACACATATTTGTACATATTGATAGACAATATGTTGCCCCTTTGTGTCTTCAGATTTCACTTGGAATGTCTTTTGATGCTGATAGCATTAAGTCCTTTTTCATCTTATGAAAATCTCCCAGAAAATGAAGAAAAAAATTCTGGAAGGATGACTATAAGGTTGTTTAGGTCATCATTTAATTTCTTAATATATACATTAAAAATATTTTAAGAGTTGAACTTTTGGAAATATTAACACATAACTATTTAAGGCTACATTAAAAAAGATATGCTATCACCTTTTACCAAAATGTCATCCTAGAATCTAAAAAGCATTAGGGAGAAAACCATGAAGCAATGGAGACTTAGATTATTAATTTCATTCATGTGAATGATCCCTCTGAGTATAAATTTCAGGTGCATCATATGCTAGCTATATGACCCTTTATAAGTTGCTTTACTCCTGGGTAAAACATATAATTTTTAATACTTCATGGGATTATCATGAGGAAATAAATAGAATGATATATACAAAGTATTTGGCACAGTGAGAGTTAAAGAATGTTAACTCGTGTCAAAAACCTGATAAATACCTTTTGTTCAGTTATAAAAACTTTAAAGTATTTCATAATCTAATAACAGGTTACTGTCTTATTTATTCCACTTTTTGAATTTTTAGACATAAATAGAAATATTTAAGTTTAATTTTATTTCTTCTGCTAGATAAAAAAATTTGAAAGCAATTTTCAGTGATTTTAGTCATAGATTAAGATATTTGCTACTTCACTTAACAGTCATTAAGATAAGTGTTTTATTAATATTTTCATGGGGTTCAGTAATCTTAATTCCTTTAATCTTTTTAAATGCATACTTAACTTTGCAATTGTTTTCCTGCCCAGGATTCAGTATTTACTGAGTTAAGAGTTACTCAGCAAGGCAGTGTTGCAGAATTCATTGTAAATTTTAACAGCATTAAAATTGTACAGTTACTACATAGTGTAATTATAGATTTCTGTTTGACAATAAACCAATGCTGAGTTTCAATATTTAAGAACACAGACATTATAGGACTACTCATTAATTATTAAAACATCAGTATGTTTTTACATTTTAAGTAGTTTCTAGATAATTTACTTTTAAAGTTTGTTTTAAATACATGAGAATCAAACAGCCTTCTAAGGAATTGAATATGTAGGAGACTATTAGACAATGTTAATAGACCAAAAATTAATTACTTTAAAATTATTTGCACTTAAGCAATATCTTAATTTTCATTCACAGCTTCATAACCATGATATCTACTATTAAAGATAGTCTGTAGTAAGATTAAGAAAATGTTAAGAACATTTGATAAAACCTGGTTTATGAAAATCTAGTTTAAGGCTCTAAAAAAAAGTAGAGAAAGCTACATAGCATTTTACAAGGTGAGTTTATTTTATTAAGACATATTGGTAGTCCTTAGTCAATATGATATGTCTTTATTATCATATGAAAATACAAAATTTTTAACCATTTTACTAAGATGAGCGAATGACATAACATTTAGTTTTTTTAATATCATAGTTAATGTAGTTTTGTTTTCTGCTTTAAAAGGGCTAGCATCATTTATTAAGCACACATTATGTATTTCTAGCCACATATTCTATGTCCTCTGAAATTACTGCCGTTATTATGGTTTCATTTTACGTACTGTAACAGGAAATTTCCTTGAGACTGGGCCTGAAACATTTTAAAGTCACAGTTTATCAAATTTTAAATGAAGAGAGAAGAGTCTTGACAATCCAAGCCAAAGTAGAGGCATCATGACAAAATGTTGCAGATCAATTGTTCATTCAAGGAAAAGTATCTTTAAAAATATTTATATTATTTCCATTGACACATTGTAATTGTAAATACTTATGGGGTACGATTTGATGTTTTAATACTATATATGTTGTATAATGATCAAATCAGGGTTAATCTCACTCATATGTGAAATTTAAAAAAAAAATTTAATAGAAGCAGAGCCGAAGAGTCGATACCAGAGAATCGGGAGGGGAGGAATGTGAGAGGTTGGTCAATGGGTGCGAAGAAAAATTATCTGTGACTTAAAAATTCACATTTGTTACATACTTTTGTAAGACAGCAAATTGTTGCAACCAATCTGCGGTCTGCATTGTTAAACATAGGCAGAATAAAATGCAATTCTGTGCATGTGTAAACTACATTACATTAGTTGCCTACAACAGAGAAGATGGATAATGGTTTTGAAATATATTTCCTAGAGCTCAAGCGTTTCCTAATAGCAGGAGGTGTGGAAGTGAGTCCTTCTCCCTAACTTAAAATATTAGTTACGTATTTCCTTATTGTCTCAAGTGAAGGCACAAGGCTGCACATCTCAAATCATTCCTAAGATAGTCAACCAAGGAGTCTCAGTAACGTTTGTGATAAATGATTACTTCTTAATCTGAATATTGAGCAAGTATAGCAGAACAGCCTCCTCCTGCGATCCCAGTGAACCTCTTGAATGTGGGTTGTACTTAAATGTGGTGTGTTTCCTTTACAGAGAATTGGCGTTCTCTGTGTTCGTTCTCCAGACAGGGAACTTAAGGTAAAATAGTCTGTGGGTCTGAAATCTGAGCAGCGTATATGAGGTTGGGGGCACTCCATAAGGACAAGGGTCATATAAATGTAGTCACAAGGAAGAAAGCCAAGATAATCCAGCCAAAAAGGAATGCACTCCAAAAGGGTGGCACGTCTTTAGAGATTGAGCTTTGATTTCCTCTAGGTCACAGCATCATATGATCAAAACACTAAACTCTTTCTGTGAAGCCTTCTCTGACTACCCTATCTAAAATGACTTTGCTTCTTCACCCAGTTCCTGTTCATGATCTATTAATTTCCTCAGCTACTATCATAATCTTATTTATTGTCTGTCTTCATACTAGAAGGGAAGTACAATGAAGAAAAAATATTTTGTCTGTTTCATGTACTTCTAGATCCCTAGGACCTAGAGGAATGCCTGGGACATATTAGATAATAAATGATGAATGAATGAACTATTATTTTTAAGTCAGATTAACTACGCCAATGTAACTTTTCATTTTTATTTCTTTTGTGTTCTCCCCTAGGCTTTAGCGAAGTCTCATTTGAATAATTTGAGGTGAATGTATGGACTAAAGCCTATGAGCGGTTCTTCCTTTATTGTTATATTTAGAAGTTCTGGGCTTGATTTAGTTAGAGGAGCAAGTGCAAAGAAAAGGCTAATTCCTCCCTCCCTCCCTTCCTACCTGCCTGCCTTCTTTCCATCCTCTTTCTTTTCTTTCTTCTGTAAATGCCAAGAAATTTTCAGTTGCAAAAATGAAATAAACATTTCCATTGTCAATCAGCATGGGCCATAAATGTGTAAAAAAGCTTGGTCACAAAAAAGACAATGAACAGAACCCAGACAACCCAGAAAAGATATCACTGAATGAAAAGATTTAGGTCCTTATCAAAGAGGAATTATCATAGTATCTTCTGTAATTTAATATTTGTTGTATATACTTACCAAGCTAATATATATTTAAATATGAACAATTTACATTGCCTATTATTCTCAGCACATCATTTCACTGTTTTCAAAAATACTATTTTGAGGTAATCCTGCAGGTAGAATTATAAAGATATATCTGAACTAGGTAGATCCTAACATTGTATTATATTCCAGGTTCTGGTACTAAGAATATTCAAAATAAGTTCTACAGTAACCCTGACAGGAATCTGCTTTAGCAAGACTTAGTCTTTTCTAGGTGTGAGGGATTATATATTTATTAATTTATAAAGGAAGGTATAAAGCTGAGAGAACGCATCTGCAAATCCTTAGATATTTACTATAGTTTAGGGGGCAAGTCTTAAGATTTTTCTGCTTTATTTCTTCAACCTCACTTTATGGAAACATGGAAAATCCACGAATAATACTGTCCTACATATTAATGAGTTTGAATTAAAAAAATTCTCATGATTTTTCAGTTTTGTCCTTTTTGCCATAATATTCTCATAGTTAAAAGTTGACACTATTAACCTGTAATTTGCTTGTTTTCTTTGGTATAAAAGATATTCAGTACAATTTTGATATTAATTTTGACTTCTATATAAATTTAAGAGATTTCATTAAGACTCAGACACTAAAATGTTGTACTCTGTGTACTTTTAAAAAATTTATTAACTAAATTTGTTTTAAATAAAGGCATTAATTCTTACATTCTTTTAAAAAATCTATCTGCTGGAAAAAAGATTTTTTATCTTTATGTGCTGACTTGAACAAAGATTACATGATTTAGCTCAAATGTATCCCATCTACAAAATATGCCCAGGAAAAGACCCGTGTTCTTATCTGACTATATAATGCAATATATTAGCAAAAATATGTGTCATTAAATAGAAGTAGCTGAACTCAAAATAGGCAGACTCTAATGAAGATGAGATTTGCTCATTAAAAGTAATACAATTTTTAGAAAAGAAAAAAAGTGAGGTGACTGAAACACCCCATTCTGTTTCAACCATCTTCATATTCCAGTTAAAGCTATGCTTATTGTGGATTTTCTTAACAAATAGAATGTCTTTGTTGGGTATTTAACTGTTCCATCCAATTGTTTCCAAATGAAAAGAAGGGCAAATTATATATTCCTTTTGTCTCTCTTTTGTGATATATTGTGGGCTTTGTATTTTGTAAAAGCTGAACGTATTCAGTAACAACTACGTCCTTCCAACAAAATGTATTTTAAAAGAATTACAAAACCTCTAAGTGAACATGCCAGGTTATGCATTGCCGGCACAAAAGGAAATCTGTCATGTGGATTCTCATAGTCTTTATTACTCAAAGTATCCAGTAGATGGAAGCCTTTCCCTTTTAAAACTTAAAGCTGCTTCAAAAGCATACATGCAGTCGGATTTGCTAATCCCTCCGTGCAAAAAAACAGTCCCTCTCCTAAGAGCGTATCAGAAAGACCACAGTTTGCGTGATTTGTAAGTGGTTTGAAAATCGCATTATTAAAGTCAAGTTGTCTTGACCCCCATGAGGTGAATGAGAATGGGAAGAATAAATTGATTCTTGAAGCTAGTCTCTTGGTGGCTGCGTGGGTTTGTTTGTCTTCCTGCATTAGTGTCCACGTTCTTGTTGCCCTTTTTCAGTGATAAATTTCCCAGGCTAGTGGTTACATCTCTTTCCGTCCATTATCGTTCCTTGGAAGCAAGCGCCCAATGAGCAAAGAAGGACACTCTAAATTAGATCCTCCTGGAATGAGCAAAGGAAAGTAGCCCAGGGTTTTTCCGGAGGGTGATGCTAAAGTGAAGACTTACTGTGTTTCCTCCTTGTCCCTATGTATAGCTCTATCTTTTTATCTTGGGCCTGTCCTCTCTGTCTTCTTACTAGTCTTAAGAATTTTTTTCTGGCTGGATGCGGTGGCTCAAGCCTGTGATCTCAGCACTTTGGGAGGCAGAGGTGGGCGGATCACAAGGTCAGTAGATCGAGATCATCCTGGCTAACATGGTGAAACCCTGTCTCTACTAAAAAATATAAAAAATTAGCTGGGCTTGGTGGCGGGCGCCTGTAGTCCCAGCTACTTGGGAGGCTGAGATAAGAGAATGGCATGAACCCCGGGAACCGGAGCTTGCAGTGAGCCGAGATTGCGCCACTGCACTCCAGCCTGGGCAAGAGCGAGACTCTGTCTCAACAACAACAACAAAATTATTTCTGTGAAAAACTATAGATTATATTTACATTTCCCTGTCCAGGAAATGAATGACTGTATTCTAAATAACTGATCAGATTTAATCATTGAGGTTAATTAAATCACTATCTATCTATTAGATTGGTTATTTAGCTCGTTGTCTTTTTGAAAGATATTTAAAACAAGGGTAGTTAAAAAAATAAAAATCTGGGCTTGGAGCATTTCAAAGTACAGTATAAGCTGGGTTTGTCAGTTCAAACCTCAATATGGAATCAACACTTCATCAGGGAAGCCACACTTTTCTTTGACTGCAAAAGGGGCAGTTGAATCATGTTTCCATGTGTTTACAAGTCATAACTAATGAAACAATTATGTGCAATGACAACTTCTGCTGGTATAGTTAGAGTACTTGAAATAAACTTTACATACTTGCCACTGAATTGCATCATAATTAGATAGGTAATGGTTCTCCCATCCTTTTTTTCCTTACTCAATTTTGAAGTTTATAGTTCAGCTTTAATTTAGAGCCTTATCTCTGGTAATGGCTTCTAACTCTTCCAACAGCTCATCGGTTTTCCTTGTACTAAACAAGAGCCATCAGCTCACTTTTCATTGAAAACTCATTTAACTGTCTCCCCATATGCTTTTAAGGACAAAAAGGCAATAGTGCTTAATTAAGATTTGAAAAACAACAACTACCACAACTTCTCCAGATTAATAAGTATTCCTTCTTCAACAAAGGGAGATCTAGATAAAATATTTGAATGATGCTTACCGAATATTAGAAATTCACCCTGTATCTCAATGGCTTTCAGCAATATAGATAATTAAATCATATTACCAATTTGCAAAATGGAGGTTTCAGTCTCCCAAGTCACAACATCAATTCTATACTGCACAAGAGTGAAGAAGGAAGAAAGCCGGGAAAGGAAGAAGGCTGGGAGTAAAGACAGTACTTCATGTTATAACTGGTGAACTGTCTCAGTTGACAAGTCTGAAGGAGGCACTCACAAAAGGCTTTGAGGAGTTGTAGCAAATTTTGAACACAACTTTAGCCTCACTTCTTGAGACCAAAAAATGGCACTCAGAAGTATGAAATCTTAAATAAAATAAAGCAAAACATAAACAAAACCCACAGAGCTCTGAGTATCTTTGTTATTGTTCACACTCTGTAAGAATCTTTAGTCCTTAAAACAGTACTCCTGCCACACCTGTTAAGTGGCTATTACAAGGCCAAGGGAAGACTTGTGCCCAATATGGGAAAACGTTTGTTGTTACTATTCTGCAATCAAAACCTGTTTTATGTCTTTTGACTTAATGATGATGTAAGTAAAGACAATATAAAAAGCAGTGGAAACATGGGATGCTCTTTTATTTTAAAAGCAGGTCTGATTTTTATACAAGATCTTTTGAGGGCAAAAAGTCCAGTGATGAAGTTGTCTGTTCTATCCCTTACTGTCTATATGCTCTTCAACAAATAATATATCTTTTTGGACAACATTTTTCTAAGCAGATTGAAGGTCTGAACCAGACAATCAGCTCTCAAGGTTTTGAATTTGAATTTAAAATTATCTTCAAGGTTTTGAATGATCAAGACATGGACAGTCAGAATCAAAGATGAAGGAAACAGAAAATTCTGGTGCCATTATGATTCAAGCCTCAATTTAAATGACAAGTACATATATGTAATACAATCTCAGTTTTGTTAT
The DNA here is from genome assembly GCF_000001405.40 of Homo sapiens. Taxonomy (NCBI): domain Eukaryota; kingdom Metazoa; phylum Chordata; class Mammalia; order Primates; family Hominidae; genus Homo; species Homo sapiens. The sequence goes on along the minus strand of NC_000002.12, from coordinate 154,373,298 downwards.
AACATTTCTTATACTTAATTTGGTTACTAGCACAACTAAATTCAATGTATTTTTTCTTTTTAAATAGTGTTTCCTCACACTGTACCAGATGTCTTAATCTTAGCATCTGGAATAAATAAGTGTTGAAGGTTTGCCATAAAATGTATGAAAACTGAGGAAATATTTTTGCAAATGATTCATTTTTTATATAAGTTTTCAGTACTCTAATTGACTTTGACATTAAAATACTTCTTTAAATATTTTGACTTTTTAAAACCAAAATATAATTTCAGTTATCTTAGCTCCTAGGAATAGTGTCCTTTAAAAAGGAAAGTGTTCTAAGAATTCTTTTGACAGAGTATTAATGATTAAATAAAAAACTGAGTTTATCTTTTAACTTATTTTAAAATTATCATATTGAAAAGGGCAAAAAGTAAATGGAGTTTATACAATTTTCATGATTTAGGTTTATGTGTAAAAGGAATGATTTTTTTTCAAATATAGAGCAATGTATGCACACTGTGAAAACTCAAATATGCTGAAAGGGAAGAATAAAAAGTGATAATCACAGACAATTTCACTACCCAAAAATAAGCATATGTAACATTACCTTTGATATTTATTTTGTATGTCTTTTTCGGCTAGCTAAAAACATACTATATTTTGTGTGTTTATATTTTACCTCACTTCCTAAGAAATTTCTTAATAAAAGACACCTTGTAAATATTTCAATGGCTGTATCATAACCTAATAGAAGTATCATGATTTAGTTGATTGGTCCCCTGTCGTTGATTGTTAAATTTTATCTGTGTGCAAGTATTATTACAAATGACATTGGCATGAATGCATTTGTACATAGATATCTGAATGCAAACTTATTTCTTAATAGGGCTCCAGGGACCAGAAATCTATTTTCTATTGCCTCTAGTTGTTAGGAAAAATTTGCAGCCGCACAAATCAATCAGTACATCTGGGGATTAGAGGATTCTTCCATATGCTGAGGTCTTGACTTCTTTGGATTACAACCCTGAGCAAATTCTATTCTTCTCTTGAACTAGACGAATTTCAAAATAGTGTGACAATAAAATCTCACTCAATTTGGTGGATTCTGGAGGTTGAATTAAACCACTTCTTTTCTTTACAAATCCAGGTAACTTCTTTACAATCTGAGAAAAGGCTAATTTTTTATGAAGACATTAAGCTTTAGAATCTTCAAAGCTTTCTGTACTATTGACTGAAAAGTAACCTTTATTTCCCATTCTTGATGAGAGCATCTCTTCCTAATATGTTGTAATAACTCATTGAATATCAGTTTAGGCAATGAATTTTCATTTTATTTATATATTTGTCTATGTCAGGTATAAGTGGTTAAACTTGTGTACTTAAACTTTGGAAAGTTCTGTATTAAATAGATTAATGGATTGTCCATTCTTATTTAACTAAATAAAGGATAGGTGAGTATTTTTATGTGTATGTTGACTTACCTCCTGATCATGACTCCAAGACTAATGTTTCTATGGGAAATTAAGATTTAATTAAAGCACACACACACAAAAAAAGCTTAAGGCCTTGTTTTCTACCTTTCCCTACTCAGGATCAGAGTATAGGTGCAAACCAAGCAAGTTGAGTTCCTCCAGTGGTTAAAACGAAAATGCCTACCCTTGTTACCATCAGATGTGATTTCTAAAATTATGCAGAGTTTCTGTCCCCTCTGCCCTCCTCAAGAAATTTCCTTTTGCTATTGTTTCCTCTTAATCCTGAATCATCAGTTTCTCTCCCTTTATATAGGATTTTCCTCATGAATTCATAATATCCTCTTGTATTTTCTATTAAAAATACAATCAAAACTACAGTAATAACAACATATACTTTTCTTGCCACATGGTCACCCCTCTGCTGTCACACACACTCAAAAACTTCTAGAAACATTTGTCTATAATAGTGATTCACAACATTGACAGCAACATTATAATTACCTGGAAACTCATTAAAAATACTCCAGCTTCAAAAATACTTTCAAGTTCATCCCTCTACTTCTGGTATGGGATCAGGCATTGGAAATTCTCTAAAGTTCCATGGGTGGATCTGGGGTTAAGGGACACTAGCATATGTTGTCATTTTCCATTTCCACACTTCCTATTCTGCCTTCAATCTACACTTAGGTGGCTTCTATCAACACCACTCCATTGAAACTCCTCTAAGTCACCAATTCCTCCCATGTAACCTGATCTCATAGTCACTTCTTTGTCTTCATCTTCCCTTCTCAGCAGGGTTTCACTCAGGTGCCTATTCCCTTCTTGCTAGCTTATCTTTTCTTGGCTTCCATGACACCACATTCTTCTGGTTTTCTAACTTTATAGCCATCTTTGGTTCTCTTTGTTGGTGCCTCCTCTTATGTTGGCCTTCTAAATGTTGTGCCCTGAGACTTAATTCTGAGACTCTTTTGTTTTAATGGAAACTTTCTTCCTAGGGCATCTCATTTAGTCCAGTGGATTTAAATACTAGCTATAATTTTCAAATTGTTACATGGATTTAAATATTATCTATAACTCTTAAGTTAACACTAAGCCTGATTTAACTCAAGATTTATAAGTCTGCCTATTTGACACCTACACTTGAATATCTAGAAGGGCACCTCAACAAATCTAAAAACAAAACTCTGGATCTAGCCCAACCCAACCCCAAAATGTTCTTCCTTCAATCTTCTCCATTTTAGCAAATGGTACCTCTAACCACACAGCAGCTCATAAGAAACTTAGAAGACTTTGTGCTTCTATTTCATCATTCCCTTTCATTAACTTTATTCACAAACCCTGTTGACTAACTCTATGTCATATCTTAGCCCATTTCACTTATGCCATTTCTCCTACTGCTGTCCTCACCCAAGTTATTTTTTGACTGTGAAGTAGTCTTAACTAGTTTTCCTGTTTATGCTTTTTCCTCTTTACATCTAATATTCCACATAGCCACCAGAGTAATTTTTTGAAAAACGCATATCAGACTTTGTTGTTTTAAACCTGTTCAATGATTTTTGGATCTCTTAGGATAAAATCAAACCCCTTAGACTAGTCTAGAAGACCTTCAAGATCTGTTCCCACTCTACTTTTCTACCTATATATAAATCCCCCTCAGTAATTATGCCTTATTATCTTCAATGAGACTGACTTGTATCCCCCACCTAAACTTCATATGTTGAAACACTAACCCCCAATATGATTATATTTGAAAATAGAGTCTTTCAGAGGAAAATTTAAAAAATGAAATCTCAGGGCAGGGCTCCAATCCAATAGGATTCATGGCCACATCATTTCTAAAATGGATTATGTATGTTAAGACTTCTGAACAGTATGGATCAGGTGAGAATTATGAGATGAAAGCCAAGGTGATCTTTCAAGAGACTGGGCAGAAATTTAAATATCTTTCTCCCCCTCTACACACACATTGTAAAGAATTCATGTGAGCACACAGCGAGAAGCCTATCAACCAAGAGAAGATGCTTTGGAATGAAACTTCATTGACACCTTAATCTTGGTCTTCTCAGCCTCCAGCACTTTGAGGAATTAATTTCTGTTGTTTAAGCTACCTAGTCTATGGTATTCTGTTATAGCAGCCTGCTGTGATTCGAATATCTGCCCCCTCTAAACCTCATGTTGAAACTTAATCTCTACTGTGGCACTTTAAGAGGAGACTGGCTCATGAGGGCTTTGTCCTTATGGATGGACTAAATTTCAACATTAACTTTGGAGGGGCCAAATATTCAAACCATAGAACCCAAGAGAATCCAGGATCTAAGAATTACTCAAATGGTTTGAGGAAGCTATGTGTGGTACTGACATGGTATCAGCAAACATGCAATGCTTAAACAGAGGTCTTTGATTTTCCTTTCCTGAGAGCTGACACTGAAGTATTATTTTGGTATTGTACATTCATTTCTTAATTTTCACAGAAATCAGGCACATATGTATTACGTCAGTCAAGAAAATTGAAGCTTCTATAAATGAATCTTACCCCAGGTTACATGTAAGTGAGCAGGACTTAGTCCAGTCTGTTTACAAAGTTTGTGCTCTTTCTATAGTGCCATGCTGCCTCTCCCAAAGTACCTTGGAAATACGAGATACTTAGTGTCATCTGAAACCAATTCTATCTCAGGCTTTTTAGGGCTCCCTAAATTTTTTATATGTCTCCCTAATATTACCATTATTTGAAACATTTTTTTTCCAGAATTGTACTTATTTATTCAAGACACGGAACCTACATCACAAGAAATCTGTCTTGACTAAATTAAGTATAATCCTGAAAACAACAACAACAACAACAACAACTCGGTGTCTTCTTAAAGCCTCCACTAGATACTTTACAATTCCGGAACACAATGGTACATTTACTGATGACTTGTGGTTTAAGGCCAGCAAAATCTGACCTTTGAAGGAAGTCAAGGAGAATGGTACCCCAGCAGGATCTTGTTACCCCTCAACATCTCTTACCAGTTACCAAAAAGTTATGAAGAATTCGGGAGGATGTCATACTAAGGTAATAATTACAATAGCCAACATTTACCGAGAGTTTCCTCTGTCCCAGGCCCTGTTCCTATAACTGTATGATGCAGATGTTAACTTCATTTTAGTAATAAGAAAACTTAGCCAGATAAATCAATTACCTGTGCACCATCCAATAACAAGTCAATGGCATAAACAGAATTAAGAGATGACAAACCTGACCCTGAGCTGTGGCTCCCCATCTCTGCATTAGGTCAACTTCACCCACCTCCCTGCCTGTGCACAGTTCCTCTGAAGTTAAAACCCTTTACATTTTACTCTACGAACAATGAAGGTAATATTACGGAGACATTTGACTAGATATTCTCCATTAAAAAAGGCCTTCATCCCACAGAAGTGGCAGCCATGGTTCTTTGGGAAAGACAGGCCTGCATCTGGTCAGTCACACCCCAGAGAGGGGTGTGACCTTAGTGTTGGCAGGGGTTTCTATGCTGTGGTCAGCTTTGTCTGAGCTATACTGGCCTTCACACTGACTAATCTCACATGAGAAGCTCATATCAGAATAAAAGAGAAATATATGTAGGTTTCTATGAAAAAGTAATTTCTGATAGCAAATCTGTGAAACTGCCTTTTTGTCATCAGAGCCAGAGAATTTTTTTTTTACATATTTTATCCAATTTATCCATTGAATTATCTTTTAATCAAAGTGAATTCACTGGAGCTATATATAGATGTTTATTCTAAAAATATACTCATATTTCAATGTCCGCTGTTGGCCCAAACCCAAACTTTTCTAGTTACATTAATCCACTGTTTTGGTTTTCAATCAAATACTACATATTTTTATTCAACTATAGTTCTGAAAATATTGTGAGAATCTCTATTATCATAAATCATACTTTATTCTTGAACTTTTTACTCACAGTATTCCCATTTCCCATGATAAATGTTTTCATCCTTAACTGCTTTTGTTCCATAAATTATTCTGCTTCAGAGAATTCTTTATCTATGCCTGTCATTTAAAAATATGTTTATAGATCATATCCACACTTCCTACTCTTTATCAATAGAGAAATTGGCAAGGTCATAAAAACATACTCTTTTTTTACATTATAAGAATAGCTTCTAGATCTTTTTATAGTCAGGCTCTGCCAAAAGATTTTATTCTTGTTTGCAATAGGAACCGTGAAAATGTGGAATTTTCTAAAATATCAGAATGAGAAGGCCAATTCTATTGTTATTTTATACTCTTGAAATGGTAAGTAGTGAAATGGTACATAATATTAAAAAAACAATGCTTCTTGGGCTTCAGAATGTAAACTGTGTTCTCTCACAATTTGCTGGAAATGCCAGCTAGGATTTTCAGGAATGTTTTATGACTTTCCAGGTAGGGACGTACATAACCTGCTCTATGTAACTAATGGCTAACAAAATCATGCTTTCTACTGCCTGGCCTACTTCTGGACCATTTGCTAATAACCTTTTCATTTTTAAATTTTTCTTTGTTTTCATTTCTAGAGAGGGGATTGACAAAGTTATCATCCATTTTTCCACATAGATAAGGGATCTTAACATCTTGAACTCCCTTGTTCCCTGATAGTTATTTTTAGAATGATCTTGCTTATGTTCGAATCACTTATGTTTCATCTCATTTATGGTTTACATCTCAGCTGTTTTATAACCAGAAACTCTCTACACTGTAAAAAGTGAATTCTATTTTTACTCTGTTATATAATTTCAATTTTTTTTTAAAAAAGGAGTTTATTTAACTAAAATAATGAACATAAAAAGTAGCAACAATGAAACCCATTCATTTCACAGTGTCCAACCTGGTCTAAGGGAGAGTATTCCATGGTATTTCTTCCTTTACATATCATTCATAATCCAGTCTAATCAGTCCCTATATGCTCACCTTAAATGTTTGACACAGTTTGTTGGAGTCCCTGTACCTTAAGTGACATTTGGAATTGACTTATTTGAGATCACCTGATTGAAACTTAGACTTGCTTTTTTGTGTAACTATACTTTCCGCCTTCCCTCTTCTCTGGTGATCACTTTCCACACAGTAATCATTGTTGGACTCCAACTCTGTTTCTGTCCATCATACAGAGGAATTCTTCCCACGGTGCGCAAATTCCCGCTTCCTTGACATATAACCTTAGTTCTCATCTGAGAATTCTCACCTGATTAACACTGCTCAGAAGTCGTGACATGTATAATACATGTTAAAAATTAATGCTCACTTGGAGCAGATTTGAATTTGCTTTAACAGTTTAACTCATTGTACTTGATATCTCAGTCTAAAAGATGTCAGTTGGTTTACTCAATCTTGTTACGAGGTTCTGGTTGTTTCCATCACACTCCTCTCTAGGTATGACTTATGTCTGAGGCTGTGCTACATATGCAAGGCATAGTGCTCATGATTAAATATGTTAATTACATATATAGCGAGTGACATATACATCCTTAAATTTGTAATATACATATATGCAATACACATGTACATTATATTTTCTAAACTATATATTTTAGACAAAGATAGAACTTTGAAAACTCTTTAAAAGACAGGAACCTTTTAAATGTAAATATCTGAATATCAGATTATGACTTTCTGCATCTGGGACATTTTTTAGGGGTAAGGAAGAAGAAAAGAGAATAACTGGCTGTGATATGACACTAAATCTTTCCTAATGGCTTTGGTATAAATCATTGTTAAATGATATATGTTCATACAATCAGGAAAAAAATTTAATGTATTATTAATTAAAATTACAGGAACACATCAACAGGCTTTAGTTCTCATCAATGATATTTAGTTCTTAAGTACTCTAGTGGAAAGGATGAAAATCTTTGATGATTGTCAATAGCATTGACTTCACACTAATGGCCAGAGGTCTAGGTCTCTTCACCAGGCTGATATTGGGTCAGGTTTCTGTGGAGGAAAATACTTATTACTCTTCACATTGAAGACATCATTCAGAAAATTTGGCTGCTAAGGGAGATTTCCTTTTACAGAGATAGTTCTTCTCATGCAGTAAGTAAGACTTGTTTAGTCAGTTAATCAATCTAATTATATTTACTGAGTATCTAACAGGAAAGAATGCAGACAATGGAATCCTAAGTCGATGACTTAAGCCACTTTCTCTGAATAAAGCTGGTGAAGAAACATTTCCTTACTTCAGTCAAGTCTCAATTCATCTATAGGATGATCTTGTCACAGAAGTCCACCTTACTTTATGAAATAGATATATTGTTTCCAAATTGAATCTTAATTTTATTGGGAATACTTACCCTTTAAAACAATTTTGGGATGAATCATAGTAATGCACAGATGAAATTGTGGAACTTTTTATAATAAAAACGGCAAGTTCTAGCATAAGGTCAAAGTTTTTCATTCTCTTTTTAAAATATTGGCAATTTATAAATAGAGCACAAATATATTTTTCCTTTTGTCTTTGAGGGTGGGTAGCTGTATTGCTCTGGTTTAAATTGAAGGGTATGCTTGGGAATTAGTTGTATGAAAATCATTTATATCCAACAATTGATTGTGACCTGCTTAGGAAAAAACGTATCTATTCTTAGAAACCCAGAGACTAAACTAGTAACACACTTGGTAAAGGTGTTCAGTGAATAGGATAAATGGATAAATAAAGCCTCTATGAAGTTAATGATTTTACTCATTTGAAAAGAAAAAAGAACAGAATGGGAAGATCACCCCAACTAGGTGGGATGCTAATTTTCATGTGAAAATTGAACGATGTTGAACTAGTTTGTCTAGTAGGTGCTAAACTGGCAGTTATATTTTTGCAAAAAGTACAAGAATGCAAATGTACATAAAAAGTGAAGGATAACTCTTTGGTGAAGTGGCTTACGCCTGTAATCCCAGCACTTTTGGAAGGCCGAGGCGGGCGAATCACTTGAGGTCAGGAGTTCAAGACCAGCTTAGCCAACATGGCAAAACCCCGTCTCTACTAAATATACAAAAATTAGCCAGGTATGGTGGCAGGAGCTTGTAATTCCAGCTACTTGGGAGGCTGAGGCAAGGGAATCGCTTGAACTCGGGAGGTGGAGTTGCGGTGAGCCAAGATCGCGCCATCGCATTCCAGCCCGGGAGAGAGAGTGAGACTCCGTCTCAAAACAAAACAAAACAAAACAAAACAAAACAAAACAAAACAAAACAACAAAAGTGAAGGATAACAATACTCAATAGTCATATAAGAAAACAGATTAAAAGTTTAATTCTAAAATACTGTGTTAGATAACCGCATTTTAAGAAAGGTCTGATTTCATTTTCACTGATATCCTTAGAAAGCAGCCTAAGGATATGAATTTGCTATACTTTCTAACTGCCCGTGATCACACTTTTCTCAGTCTTGATGGAATTTACTGGAGTCGAGATATTCTCCCTTGAACTTGTAAAGCCAGTCTTCCGTAATCATCAGATTTTGATGATTTCCTACAGGATAAGTGATATTACACAATGTGTTAATGCTTTATACAGTTAGGTTAAAAATATTCTTGCTAACAAAGAGGTTGCACTATTACACTCCCAAAAGTGAGATTAACTTAAAATTAAGTTTCTATTTTAACTCCATGAGATAAAATTAGAAATAACCTTTCTATAACTATAACAGTTGTAAATTATTTCCTTGTCTCAATACCATATAGCTTGCCTATAAATAGAAATTATGATTTCATTTAAATTCTGTAAGGATAATACAACAGTATCTTACCTCTGGTCAATATAGTATACTTCTCATTTTATTCCATTCAATATATATAACCTGTGTGATTTTTAGCTCATGCAATTTTTAATTCAAGGATGATGGATTTTTAATGTTCTTAACACAAAAAATAATTATTGAAAGATATATGTTGAAGACTTTCATTTTTTAGACCCCCTAGATAGTTTCATCTCAAGGCTATACAGGGATTGAGACGTCTATGCCTACCCACTAGGCAGTTCTCAAATATGATTCTTTTTGTAGATGGGATAAAGCACTTGGGTGATATTTTCAGATGAATATAGACATTGACTTTAAAACACAATTGCATAAACATGATGTGGAAGGCATAGGTCTGGGGAGTCAATTCAACACTTCTATTTAACTCCAGTCTTTATCTTTTATATTTATTCCAAAAGAGCTTCACATAAAAACTCCCTACAGAAAAAGAATTTGCCCACATTTACATTTCAGCATATAGACATAACCATTTCATTTCATCACACTGTTCTTTGCTTTTTTTCATATTTTAGAATGTGGTTTAATTTTCTTTCATCACCATAATGGGTCAGAGTGTGCAGAACAGTGATTGCAACAAAATTGCATTTTTAAGAAAAGGTCGTGCAATTAGCTGATGGATTGATGGAGATAACTATGACAGGCAGAATCCTCACTGGTCCACTGCAGAAATCCACAGAATAAATAATCAGAACATTTGAGCTTCCCCCCGCTCCACAAAAAAAAGTTAAAACAAATGCTATAGACATAATTCAGAATACTGTTCTGAAAAGACTGGAAGCAAGCCAAGGCTTGAGAATATCTAAGCCATACTGGGAAGGCAGAGAAGATGAAAGAGTAGTGATTCAAACTGGGGTGAGCTGGTTGGACAGGCGTACATCTGGCTTACCAAGCCTATTGGGTTTTTAAGCCAAGAAAGGTAATACAGTGCGAGAAAAAGTTAGCAAAACAAACAATGGATTCTGAAAATAACAAATCCCAGAGATCAGTAGAATCAGGTGAGAAAAAAACAAGTTTTGAATGTACTTAAGCTTAGAAAGTATTTCTGGGTTAAAGTAAATGAGAAAGCAAAACAGTGTACAATGCAACTTTAAAAGCTGTGTAAGGAATTTGGTAACTCAAAAATAAACTGACAATTTCATTTGTGATTTAAATCTGTTATAATGAAAACTCACGTGATTACTTTAATACTTTAAAGGGTTTGAAAGGTTGACCTACGCTAATTATTGAGCCATATAGTATCCTCACACTCATGAAAATGAATGTGGGGAGAAAATTTCTTCCTTAATGCAATAGCTATTTGGCCACTTGTAGGCAGTATTTTAGAGGTGATTCATGCATTGCTTAGTATAGCAGTTATGCAAAACTTAGTGCATAAAACAATGACCAGTTTTTTTAGCTCATAATTCTGTAAGTCAACAATTTGTCTGGGCTTAGCTGGGCTTTATTTTTTCTTCTTGTATATCAAGTTTTCTCTTGCATTTGGCAAGAGCTTTTGGGTTGGGTGGGGGTTGGCTAGTTTAAGATGACTTTGACTAGAAAGACTGGGATGAATGGGACCTCTCTACACATGGTCTCTCACCCACCAATAGTTTAAACTGGCTTGCTCATATGCTAAACATTCTCCGAGAGAAAAAGAGAAAGAGAGAGAGGAAAAGATGAAAGGAGAGGTGGGGGAGAGAGAGAGATGAAATATACAAATCTTTAGTCTGAGAATCAAAACCTACTCTATTTTATTCTATGTCATGTATGTCAGAAAAGCAAGTAATAAGACTAGTCCAGACTCAAGAAGCGAGAAACTAGATAGACTCACTTCTTGATGTGGGGTGGGGTGGGGGTGGGGGTAGAATTTGTGATCATTTTTTACACTCTGAAAATATGTGTTAGAATAGAAACTTCCAAGGACCATTCCAATTCTTAATGCCAATTCTTTTGTGAAAATAGGGTGCCACCAGTTCCTGTGGACACTCAGTTGTTTATCTTCATTGCCTTCTTTACTCTTTGTTCTTTACTCTTCTATGTCTGAAGTGATAGCTTAGTTAGAGCTGATTCCATGGGACTGGGCTCAGTAGTAGCAGGATCTTTTACCAAGAACTGTGGGCAAACTAAATCAAGTATGGCAGTCAAGGGCCAGTTATCTTGAGAGATGAGTCATATTAGTTTTCCAAAATAAATAAGTCTTGGAAAGAGTGCCAGAAGCTAAACTAAGAAGTCTTAGGAAAGCCAAAACTAAAATTCAAGCATGAGAAATCACTGCCCAAGACTGAGGTGAATAATGTTTATTTAAAAAGCCTAATCATGCTTATTAGAATGACACAGGCCTAGTTTTTGACATTCAAAGGCCCAGAAATTAAGTGGATATGATTCTTTTACTAATCAGTATGGAATCGCACAATAGTAATAGGCAGCATCTGTTAAGTACTCACTATGTGACAGAAATGGGCTAAGCACTTTACACTAAATCTAAAGGCAATCCTATGAGATAGACACTATTTTTAGTTTTATATAAGAGGGATTTGAGGATTAGAGAATGCACTGTATTACAGCAAAATGATAAAGTTTACACAACTGGCAAGCAGGAGAGCTAGGATTTCAATCCAGGACAGTCTGATTCCAAATATTCAGCCTTGAATCACAAAGTCATAAGATCACTCCAAAAGGTTTTGGCTGAAAGAATTATAGACCGTCTAGTTACATTTTAGAAATGTTATAACTTAGCCAATGTTACATACTTAAACAGTATCAGAATTGGAGCTAGAGACTAATTTAGGTTACACATATACCAATCTTGAAGGAAGCGTTTATGCTATATATGCATATAAACCGTATATGGATACATCATACAAATTAATCTACAACATGCCCCTATGCTTTGTAATACCAGCAGTGTTGATCACATTCTGCTCAATAAAATCTTTATAAACATAACTTAAATATCAGACAAAAATAAGCTGTTCTTTTGGGTGTTTAATATGAAAAATATGTAGAGAAATTAGGCTATTTATGCAAGATCACTTTACTTTCTTCCCCACCACTCACTCCATGCTCCAATTGTTTTACATAACCCATCTTTCCAAATTGTGTTTTGTATTTTCATTTTTTGTTTTCAAATTTCCTAGGTTTTTAACCAACCCCATCTTCACTCCCCTTCCCCATGCTTCTAAAGTATGATTCATCTTTATAATCCCAAGTCAAATGCCTCAACCCTTTTTGGCTGGATTAATCTCATCCTTCCTTCTCTGAATTCTTGTATAGACTTAAATTGCCTGAGAGCTATCATGGTGCCACATCAAACTGAGTTCCTTGAAAGCAGGAGCTCTGCTTTCTATTTCTTTAAATTTCTAGTACACAGTATGTTACTTGGTACAACATACGTGCTCAATAAAGATATACTGAATAGTCACATTTATGACAATAGACTTATGAGACATCCATCCACACATAGGTACACGTTGCAAATTTGTATCACTCTAAAAACAGGCACAAGCCATCTGAGGAATAATTCCAGTAGCAAAACAAAAATATACTCTTATTTGGGAATGTTTTTCGCTTTTCTGCGAAAGCAGCACCCTATACTGGGATAAAACACAGTCTGTGGTACTTCCTTTGACACATTTCTCTCCCCCATAGTTTTTCCGAAACTCAAAGATCTATTTAAGAAGTTGGACAAAGAATGGCCTATTCCCTTAATATTTCAGGAACATGAATGGTTGGACTATTCTTTTTAAAGGAATGAACAAAGCCTGAATATACAGCCAGTGGACTATAAATGGATTATTGTTTTCTTTACATTGTAAGCAACAGCAGTAAACAAGGATATAAATGTTAATGATATTTCTTTAACAAAAGCTATCCATCAGCACTGCTGCACTGTGAGCAGTACAGTGATTAAACCACTGTAACATATGTATATGTGAATATTTACAAACAATCAAGGAAAAAAAGCAGTCAGTGTAATACTGTATAACTCGAAAGAACATGATTATTATTTTTTAAAAGAAAACAAGTTTATTGTCAAACATTTTTCCAGGACATTTGCTACAATGCCTTAACTACATTTTCTTAGACATAATATTGTCTTTGCTCATTAAATCATGTTGTTTTGGGAATGCTTATTTTTGAGATCAAAGGCTACATTTTCAGTAAGTCTACCTTAACAGATTGCCTTAGACAGCATTCTATTACATTAAGTTAAAGAAAATAGCCATTCTAACTTATAATTCATTTTACTGAGGAGCAGCAATCTAATTCACATTGATTTTGAGTAAACCTTTACATACCCATCTGCTCCATTTCAAGCTAGGCTTGTACAAATCAATGCATCTTCAGTATCAACATGCACTAATCAATGGGTAAGGAAAATCATTATTTACTGCTTGGTAATTGTGTTTACATTCAAATAAAATATAGTAACATGTACAAGGCCATTTTGGAGGAAGAACGAGTGGCCTATGGATCACAAGCAGATTGTCTTACATTGTATCAGATGATCTGAGAAATTTTACCAGGAAGGTAAGAGATGACCGTAAGTCTCACCTTTGCCTCGTTTTAGCTCTTAAGGTAGTTGTCCACATTTTCATGATCTTTCAATTCTAGGAAGCCTCCAGTAGGTGAATGGTAGTTCCAGGAACCATCGCTACAGGCAGCAATTCTCCCTACTGGATTATGATCAGCTCCAGAGCTGATCTGGTCTCTGCCCACCTGCTCACTCTTGGCTCTGAAACTTCACTTTAGATTTCTCTTGTCATTTGAACTTGGAGTATATATTTGGTTTCCTAGTGTTTGAATCTCAGTTTTCCCTAGTGGCTACCTGGGACTTGTCCCGCTGATGCTCTATTTTCAAGACTACCTTGAATAGGATACCCGGTCTAGTTTCAACCTCATTTAGACTCCAATCTCTGATGCCACTAGATTCCTGCTTTAACTCCACTGTGAAGGGCAGGGGAAGGAAAGTCAAAACACAGGAATACACATAGAAGTAAATGAAATACCTTGTAGTTCTGATTCACCAAACTTTATTAAGACAGCCCTGCAAACAGCAGGACAGATAAGACTAGGTTCCTGCCTCCCAGCATAACCGAACAGATGGGCTACGATGAAATTGCCCATCAAAATTTGTTTTGTCCTATTTTATTACAGTTATTCAGACAAGGAATGCAGATTGAAACAAGGAATGGCTGAAAACAGGTTCTGTTTTTAGTGAATTTCAGTGAGTGAACAGATTCACAGTACTATGAATGCAAGTCACACATTTCTTCCATTGTAGCTTCTCATAAAGAGCTAGAGACTGTACGTGGCAAGTATCTAAGTAGTTAAGTTAGCAGCGTAAACATTGGAATGATGCAAAGAAAATGTGCTCAAAGATCATGTGCATTTGTAAATCAAATTAGCAAATAAGGATATAATTTGAAAAACAGTAAGACTTATTGTTTGTAATCCTGAAAAGAAAAAAAATCAAAAAAGCAAATAAAACCCATGGATCCAAATATGATTTTCCTTTGTAGTATTGTATAAACCTCCCATTTTAGAAGTTATTATATTACATAGAAACTTCAAATTTAGTGATTTTGAGTCCAGATAGTGCTTTAATATATACGGAATTGTAAAATTTTATATGAAAGTGAATATATTCTATAAATGCATATAAAGTTGGTTTAGACTGATAAATGATTTCTGTTCGTTGATGTTTAGCCAGAGCATTTAGTATGAGTAACCAAATCTGAGTTCATTTAGTGAAGAGTGGAAAAAATAGGTTTCTACAAATATGAAAATTCACCTAAAATATATCACCTTATAAAAAATGACAACACTTTCTAAGATGTGTGTTGCTAAAAGATATTTAAGAGAAATGAAATATCAAAGATAACTGGATCACACTTCCATGGTAAGAGAACTTGCTGTTTGGAAAAGTGGCTTTGTTTCAATGTATATATGTGTAGCACATGTAATTTGTGTAAGAGCAAAGCAAATCAGATGAGAATTTCAAGAAGTTGAGTGTTCCATAAGCAACGTGTAAAAATATTCACATTCTATAGAAGTATTATAGTTTGGAAGGGCACATTCCACTCAAAGCTCAGATATACACAAATTGGGCTGAGATGAGTAAGTCAGAAACTCAGTATAGAAGATCAAAAAATATAATTTGCTAAGTTTAAATAAAGGAGAAATTTTAAAATGTGTAGTTTTATTTGATTTAGTCATTTAATTAGTAGGCTATTTTCTAAGTCCCATTTGAACATAATAGCTGCAAACCATCATTATCCTCCATGAAGCATACACTGAAAGACCGATGTTATCTACATCTGCCATCACTCCAGCTGAATGTCAAATGTGACTGATACTGGGATATAAATGAGTATCATGACTATCCCAGTGAATGACCAGTCATCCCTTGACCCATATCCTTCAGTAATGAAGCTTTGTTTCAGGTGACAACATGGAGGATCAGAATATTTGATAAGCTTGCCTAATGTCATAGGAAAGATACAAGTCAGGTATTTTCGCCGTTGTCATCCACTATGCACAATGGCTCATGATTACTACCTGCTAGTGACTAAACTCAGCTAGCTAAATAATTTGCATGCCTTTTTACACGCCTTAAATGTCAGCAGCACCCCACTTCTTACACTGTGCATGTAGTTGAATGAGAAAGTGGGAATAGAACTGGGACACCAGGACAAACATCTAACTCTAATAAAGAGAAGACAACTCACATGAAATATGAAAATTAAAGGTTAATACTCACCAGTAATACAAAATATTTTAATTACAAAATATAGCAGTAATGCAGCTTAGAATACATATTGCCCCAAATAAGTCATCCAAGAGTGCTACAAAGAATTTTTGACTCTCCTAGAAAGTTAAGAGCTAAAAGAGATCTTAGAGATTATTTTAATGATTCTATGTCTTTAATGTGTAGATGCAGCAACTGGTTTGACCTTGGAAATGTACGTCCCCAAAACTATATTGCAAGCAGGAGGTACAAAAGCAATTAGAAGATAGATCTTCTAGTTCATGTAATACCAAATATAATGTTCTTTTTTATACACTAAGTTCCCACAGTTTTATTTCATTTCAATCAATCTTCAGGTTAATAAAAACAGGTATTATCAAATATCTATATTTATATAGATCATATAAGACAACCAAAAGCTTTTCCTAAACAGATACCTATGGTATCTAGTCTAGTGGAAGACATAATAACTATAGGTAGTACATGGTTATCAATTTATGTGCTAACAGCAAAGTATTTATTTAATGTACATTTGAAAAATATGCATCAACATATAGTTTTATAGTTTAAGGCTCAGTTAGAAGTATAAGAAGATTGAAAATCAATTTAAAGAAACAAATAAATATGGATTAGAATATGGCAAAGGTAATAAAAAGGTAAGTAAATTAATGGCGGAGGTTTGGGAAAAACTGACCTAAAGTAGAATATATTGGACATATAAAATTGAGGAAAGGTAGTTATTTACAAAAAGATGTGCCAGTGATGAAGTTTCCTAAGTAGAATAATTTAGTGTAAATGATAAAGTACCTCATGCAAGATATGAAATGAGTATTCATGTAGAATACTCTGTGACATCCACCCTATACAATTTTTTTCAAAATAATTTCTCATGTATTGCTTTATTGCTATATTGATTTCAAGAACTGATTAAAAAGCACTTTTTTCCATGTGTCTAGATTTCTCATAACTAAAATCCAATCTGAGCAAATTGAACACTAGCAATTCTCAGACTCTTAAATGAAAACACACAATTTTAGAGTCTGAGTTTAGGAAATCAGAATAATCCACCAGAGACACATTTCTTCAACAGTTTTTTTAAAAAGAGTTCTAAGGAAAACCTACTTAGCAGTTAGATTTAAATTAACTTGATTAATAGGAAAAAGCTAATGGGCAAATCTGTAGATAACTTTGTCAAAAAACAAAGCAAACAGATTTTAAGCCACTTCTGAGAAGTTTATCTCACCAATAGAATAGTGATCAAAGAGAAATCATTTGAAATTGTGTTTAGTAGAGGCTTAGCAATATCAGACCTAAATTAAATCAAATCGAGGTGTTTGAAACCATTTTAATATCAAAGAGAACCTGATGACAACTTTTCTTCTCAATAAGAACACATGGCAATTAAAGATACTGGCAGGAAGAAAGTCAGAAGGCCCAGACTGAGATTCCTGTCACTAAGAAAATTTAAATCCTCTTCTTGGTACACTGGTACAAGAGAAAAACATGACCTCATAATCTATTATCAAAAACAATCCGACCTCAGAACACAGTGTCCAAAGTTCTAGAACATTTTTATTGAGTGGATAATTTTGCCTAAATGGGTATTGGGAAAGTACTCATTTTATGCAGCCTCTCGAACTAAAAATTGTCTTGTGGATGCTGTGAGAAATACTTGCTACATTTATAAATAAACTCTGGGGTTATCAGTTACACATATTAGCAGTAATGATAATGAATGACTTACTTTTCCCAGCACTACAATGAGCTTTTATTATATCATATTATATCTTAGTCCCTTGGAATCCTGTGCTTTATGCCAAAAGAAAACATAAGATGCCTTTCCTCATTTTAGTGTGGCAAATACAATATCAGAATGAAGTGTGACATTTATATGTACCTGTGCTGATGCGCTTCGTGAACTAAAACTATTTAAGAACTCATATCTTGCATATTCAAGGAAGGATTAGATTGAATCCTAAGAAATTGTTTTTGTAGGTCAAAGATATCCAAATATCAGCCATGTCATGTGGTTTAACTAAATATTTTTAAAAGGCAAGTCTCCGTTATCTCATGTGACCTTTTACAGTGCTTCAACAGAATTACTGCAAAAATTAAATGAGATGGCACATCCAAAAGTACTTGGTCAGGTATGAATATCTACAGGCTATACAACCTGAGCTTGGGAAGAAGAAAAACATGTGGCTGGGCGTGGGGACAAAGCTGCCGTGTAGTATTCTAATGGCAGTTGAGTGGGGTCTGAAAAGCTTAAGGTCATTTGTAAGGCCAAAATCAGTCCACAAAAGAAAAGGTAAAAATTAAATGGATTATGATTCAATTCCAACTGAATCTAATTTCTGACTGGGAAGGGTTATGGCAGGCAATGGCAGAAATCCAGTCAGGTAGAAAGTTAGTGTCAGAGAAAACAATGGGAAATTCTATGTATAGAAACACTGGCATTCGAGTAGAAGAACCCTGACATGAAGAAGCAGTAGAGAGAACTGCTGTGAGAAACTAAGGTTACAAATTATAATTTAAAATCACGAAGTATGATGTCTGGCAGATAAACAGAAACATCGACCGGTGGAATAGAAGAGAACCTAGAAATAAATCCAAACATTTATGATCAGCTAATTTTCAACAAGGGCACCAAGAGAACACAATGGGGAAAAGGGTGGTCTCTTCGATAAACGGTGCTTGCAGAAGTGAGTTTCCACATTCAAAAAAAAAAAAAGTGAGATTGAACCACCATTTCACACCATCCAGAAAGAATAACTCAAAATGAACAAAGGACTTAAATGTAAGATCTGAAACCATAAAAGTCTTAGAAGGGAACGTAGAGGAAAAACTGACATGGCCATGGCCAAGATTTTTTAGATATCACACCAAAAGCTCAGCTACAACAGCAAAAAAAAAAAAAAAAAAAAAAAAAAAAAAAAAAAAAAAGGACTACATCAAACTAAAAGGCATCTATCTGTCTGGCAAAGGAAAAAACAAAATTAAAAGGCAACCTGTGGAGTGGGAAAAATATTTGTAACCCACATATCTGATAAGGGATTGATATTCAAAATTTAAAACCCTCACAACTCAATAGCAGAAAAACAACCCAATTAAAAAATGTGCAAAAGACCTGAACAGAAATTTCTCCAAAGAAGATATAAAAATGCCAACAGGTATATGAAAATGTATGTTTAATCATCAGGGATATGCAAATGAAAACCACTATAAAAATATCACCTCACACCCATTAATATGGCTCTTATCAATGAGACAAGTGATAGCAAACGGTGGTGGGGGTAGAGAGAAGAAAACCCTTATACACTGTTGGTGAAAATGTTGATTGGTGTAGCTATTATGGAAGTCAGTATGATGGTTCCTAAATATGTTAAAAATAGATTACCATATGACCCAGCAATCCATCTTCTTGATATATATCTGAAGGAGATGAAATCACCACCTTGTAAAGATATCTTCATTCCCATGTTCACTGCAGCATTGTTCACAATAGCCAAGATATGGAAACGACCAAAGTCAACTGGATAAAGGAAATGTGGCATATATATACCCATCCTACACAATGGAATATTATTCAGCAAGAATAAAGGATATCTTGCCATCCGCCACAACATGGATGGACCCAGAGGGCATTATGCTAAGTGAAATAAGCCAGACACTGAAAGAAAAAATGTTGCATGATCTCAATTACATGTGAAATTAAAATAAAAAGGTCAAACTTGCAGAAAAAATCTAGGGCTAACAGGGCCCAGGGTGGAGGAGAGAAAATGGGGAGATACCAACGAATACAAAGTAGCAGATGTGTAGGATGAACAAGTCTAGAGATGTAATATACAACATGAGGACTATTAATAAATTTGTATTGTATTAGGGATCTTTCTTAAATACCTAGATTTTAGCTGCTCCTGTCACACCACACACACGTAACTATGTGAGGTGATGGATATGTTAGTCTGCTTCACTGTAATAACCATTTTACTATCTATATGTATCCCATAACTTCATATGTAAACCTCAGTTATACCCCATTTTTTTAAGTGAATATAATTTTTTTAAAGTTGTAACAAGGCAGGTTCATTGAGTGCTAACTATACAGGGGTTCCATGAATATAGAGAGATTCTATTATTTAATTTAAATTGACAAAAAGCCTAATGATGTATATATTTTAATATCCATTATATAGATGATAAACTGAGGCTCAAAGAGGTCAAATCACTTGACAAAAGCTGCACAACAATAAATGGCTGAGTTGATGTTTGCATTCAGGTCATTGTAGTGTAAAGCTCATATTCTTCCCATGACTTTCTTCAAAGAACTACCGAGTCACTAGAGAAAAAAGGCCAATGCTCCATTTCTGAGTAACTGTCAAAGCTAGACTCCAGCTGCCAGCAAACCAGAGCAACAAGTTTGGAGGATACTAACAGTAAGCCTAACTTGATGCTGCCAAAAGGAGATGGTCCCAGTTAGACACTGCACTGGACTTGCCAAATTCCACAGAAACCAAGGAGAGGCTAAATTTCAGTAGACAGAGCTGAAAGACAGTGAGGACACTGACTAGGTACCCTAAGTGGGAGGCACATTGAAAGTACTAACCCTAGGAGGTACATTGAAGAAACTTATGTAGTGTGGGAAACATTTCTCATAGTATTGACCACAGTATAAGAAGAATGTGGTGTTGGCAAGTTATGAGCTATGGAGCCTGACTAACTTGCATTCAATTCAAGCTCATTGTATACAACTGCTTCTTCTGTGGGTGACTTTGAGAAGTTATTTCACCTGTCTGAGCCTCAAATTTCTCCTTTGTAATCTGGGAGTAATAAAAGTACCTACCTCATTGGCTGTGAGCCTTACATGTGACAATGCATGAACAGCACCTAGAACTGTGCCTAACAATATTAGCAAGCATTCAATAAATAGCTATGGACTTTACTTTTCTGAAAAGTAAATACCTGTTTTATCTACCTGAGACTCAAAGACAAGTTTGGGGGAAACCAGTCTTGGCATAATCTTATAAACTGTCCCAGAACAGAAACAGGTAGTGCAGAGCTATGGGAGGCCAACTGCAGTGGCATGTCCATGGTTCAGCTTTATTATTAGTGCACAGATGAGGCCGGTTCATGTAAAGAAATGGGATTGAGGCAGGTGCAGCAATACTGGGTATTTCCTTTAACTTCAACTTATTTATTAAAAGGGATACTAATTTTTTGGTAGCATATTATGAACATTGCAACCAAATCAAATTGTGAAGTACATTCTCTAAAAGAATATATGAACTAGTTTGTATTGTTATCAAATGACACTGAAAAAGTATGAATGAAAAATTTTCCTCATGGAACTAAAATGCAGCAAAACTTCACATGAAATTAGATTTCCTAAAACATCTAGTAGTTTGTTTCAAAGAAAAATGAACCCTGTGGAGAAGTTTTTATAGTCTATGCTTGATTAATATGTTTTATTTCTTCCTTTTTATATGCATATATAAAACTACTTGTTTTATTGATCAAAGTGTTTAGAACCTACACTATTCCTTGTGATAGATACATAGATCGATATGGTCTTATACAAAATTTATTGTATACAAGTGACAGAGTGATCTCATAAAATAGAGCTCTGGCTTTTTTTTTTTTTTTTTTTTTTTTTTTTTTTTTTTTTTGAGACGGAGTCTCGCTTTGTCGCCCAGGCTGGACTGCAGTGGCGCCATCTCAGCTCACTGCAAACTCCGCCTCCAGGGTTCACGCCATTCTCCTGCCTCAGCCTCCAGAGTAGCTGGGACTACAGGTGCCCGCCACCATGCCCGGCTAATTTTTTGTATTTTTAGTAGAGACGGGGTTTCACCGTGTTAGCCAGGATGGTCTCAATCTCCTGACCTCGTGATCCGCCTGTCTCGGCCTCCCAAAGTGCTGGGATTACAGGCGTGAGCCACCTTGCCCGGCCAGAGCTCTGGTCTATTGCATTTTTTTTTCAATTCAGTTCTTGAAGCTCACAACGGCAAACATCAACAAGATGCAAGAAGAATATGATAAAGTTAATTCATATTTCCAAATGACAAATTCAGCTTTACTCAGAGATCCTTCAACATAATAAAATCAAGCTTTATGACACCATTTCCAAAAGATATTCCATGGTCTTGCCATTAAAGCTTTGACTGAATCACAGCCAAAGCGCAAAGTCATTCTTTGTTGTTGCAAGTCCTTCAGGGCCTCCTCAAGTGCTTCCTGATGCAGACTCAGGCTCTTACATGGCACACGTGAACCTTCACAGACCTCTAAGTTTCCTGTCTTTGCAGCTGCAAATCCTGTGTCCCCAACTACCCTGCCACCAGCTCCACTGCGTTTCCCATACCTACCTTAATCTTCATCAACATCAAACTGTTTACTGTTCTCCAATAAAACAGGCATTTAAAAACACATTTTCTCTGCTCTAAATATTCTTCTCAAAGTAGAACTGCTAGTTTCTACTTATCACTGAACACCTGCTGTAAGTGTGAAGTTCTCTTAAGTTTTTGCCTGGTCCCCACTGCCTTCCACTGCTGCTACACAATGCTAATTGCCCTCTGCTCACCCTCATGAGCATATGAGGGCTACTGTACCTTCCCCCGCCACACATTACTGAAACTAGCATATTCATTTGCACATAGTAGGGAGTGTATTAGTCAGAGTTCTCTAGAGGGATAGGACTAATATGATAGATATATACAGGAAAGTGAGTTAATTAAGGAGTATTGACTGACACAGTCACACGGTGAAGTTCCACAATAGGCTGTCTGCAAGCTGTGGATCAACTAAGCCAGTCCAAGTCCCCAAACCTCAAAAGTAGGGAAGCTGACAGTGCAGCCTTCAATCTGTGGCTGAAAGCCCGAGAGCCCCTGGCAAACCACTGGTGTAAGTCCAAGAATACAAAAGCTGAAGAACTTGGAGTCCAACATTGGAGGGCAGGAAGCATCCAGCATGGGAGAAAGATGAAGGCCAGAAGAGTCAGCCAGTCTAGTCCTTCCACGTTCTTCTGCCTGCTTTATTCTAGCTGTGCTGGCAGCTGATTTAAATGGTGCTCACTCATATTGAGGATGGGTCTGCCTCGCCCAGTCCACTGACTCAAATGTTAATCTCCTTTGGCAACACCCTCACAGACATAACCAGGAACAATACTTTGCACCCTTCAATCCAATCAAGTTGACACTCAATGTTAACCATCACAGGAGTTAATGGATGTTTGTTGAATGCACAAATGAATAAACTAGACACTACTATTCTCACTCTGAACTAACGTTCTATTTTTGATAAAAATTTCTTCTGGTTTTTTCTTTTGTCCTTGAATCCCATAGACTTTAGGTTACCAAAATCCTACCTTGCTGTTAGCAACACTTAGAACTGACATCTGTTTTTGAACTGCACAGTCTAATGGCTAGATTCCTGATACTTCCACTGGACTCCTCTAATATGGTCCTACTTCTGCTTTCCATCCAGCATTGCCATGCTTGGCAAACATGTGCAAGAACATTGAGTTACTTAACACTGGACCCAATTTATATTGCCTGTGGGCCTGAATGGCACTTATTTATCAGTGTCCAGAGATTTAGGTTATTAAGTCTGTTTACTGGCTTGGACATCATCCCAGCATCTGATTCTGGATATGTCCATCTCCCCCCTTCCTGGCTTCTCTCTCTGCACCTGTGTCAACCTAGGGTTTGGATTTACATCCATTTCTAGGGCCTTTCCCAATTTGAATGATATCATAGTAAATTGCCATGCTCATCCACATACTAAAAGATGACTTGTGGCAGCTTTAATGTTTGACCTAACAGCAATGTTGTTTGTGAATAATTTGATTTTATGCAATAGAACATTCTGACTTTTCCAGTTTCTAAGGGATATATTTATGATTCAAGACTTATAGCTTGTTCATTTATATTTTGGTCAGGGAGGAGCAAAACCTAGAAATTAGTTTCTTTCATTTAAAAAGTGCTTTAAACTATTTTAGGTGGTACTTAGATGATCCTTGCAATTTTCTTGTAAACCAGTTAAAACAGTTGTATTTTATCCACATTTCATGGATAGGAAAATTTAACAGGGTAAATCTAATGACATATCCCATCAATTATGTGTCTAATTATTAATGATGATGATAATCAAATGTAGATCCTTAGGCTCTTGCTTTATAGCTCTCTCCTTGGATTATACGTGCCTGTTTACTGACGATTGCTCATGTGGACATTTGTGGAGACATTCTTGGTACTCTCTAAAATTGCATTTGATTAATACAGCACATATGAGTTGTTACAATCTTTTAAATGTTGTGGTAATTTTAAATAATTTGGTATTTAAGGTAGTTTAGTGAACCTGCAACAAATGTTATCTTGAAATTTCAGTGTTCATTTCTAAAAATCTAGTGAGAAATGTAGAAAGGCAGAATTATCTGAAAGAATTCACTAGTCTTTTCATTTCCATGACCCTTTAAAAACTTCTGGAAAGGCTCTGTTTGATTCTGACTATGCACTTTCATCCTGAATGCTCACCTCTGAATAACATGCAAACTCCGGAGCGCTAGATATTCAAGTGTATTTCCAGGACCTTGTAGAATAACAGTGACAAAGAGGGCTTTGTGAAGGTTTTCCTACCATCTAGTATAAAATGACATTGGGACTTCCTCAAATAGATTCCCCTGCTGGGATGCACCTTTGGGAAGCAAGTGATAGCACATGAGAGATGGGCCAGCCCCAAACATAAAATAGATGCCATGGCTTTGTTATGAATCTGACAGACTTCGGGGTCAGGGCTCCTGTCAGGAGGGAATGAACACATTTTTCAAAGGAGCTCTAGGACATGCCAGGAAACCTGTGACTGTGTGGGTGTTTCTTCCCTTTTGACTCTAATCTCTGACTAATAGAAAGTATACTTAAAACCAACCAACCAACCAAAGCACACTGTAACACCGAGAAACTATTAAGCACTATTAACACTATTCAAATGGAAGTGAGTATATAACAAGTGCCTAATTTAACAAATATGCTAAAGAAGCTGTTTGGGTAGCCATTCATTTGGGTAGGTTCTTCCCACTCTCAAATGACTGGGAAGTCATTTAAAGTATGACACCGTATACAGTAGTTTGAGGCAGGATTGCACAGTGGTTAAGCGCCAGGAGTTAGAACCAAGACCAAGATTATAAGCCTCTCTCCAATACTTGATAATTCTGTGACCTTGGGCTTCTGTTTCCTAATCTTTAACACAGGGATATAACACAATGCTATAGAATTACAGTCAATCTCAAATAAGATAAAGCATGACAGGTCTTAAGCAGGAACTGCTTCTTAGTAAAGTTTGATAATTAGTGGTTATTACAGAATCATTAATATGAATGTACTTGATTTTTTAAAAACACTTCTGATAAGGTAAGTGGCCTTCCAAATATCACAGTCCAGGGAAGAGCATACTGACTTTGAGCCAACTGAACCTGGATAAGGAAGCCAGATCCACTAATTTCTAGCAGTATGATCTTAGAATGTTACTTAGTCCCTCATAGCATCAGTTTCTTACCATGTAAATAAGAATACTAACTACTTCTGAGAGTTGTGCTGAACATGAAAGAAGGTCACACATACCACACACCTACAGCAATATGTGGCTAGTCCCTTTTGCCTTCAGTGAAAATCTATGATTATAAACTTTGTCCATCATTTCAAGTTGGGCAGAATTGAAAAGACCAAACATTTTCCTTCTATGACTTTGTCTGGCAATTTGAGCTCTTAATTGTATTTGCTCCAATATTATGAGCAAAGACAGTTGAGAAAAAACAACATCTATAGGTGACATATTGGTATGGAGAGACCAAATCTGACAATTGGTCAAATTACTGGAGAGCAGATAATTTACAAAATAAAGAAAAAATTTAGAGAGAAGCATAATTGCAGATTTAAGTACATAAAAATTTAAAAATTAGATCCTCAACTTATGTTAAAAGCTTTAAAAAGGCATTGGGAATAAAATATTATAACAAATATGAAAGATCAAGTGGTATCATCATCTTTTATGCAGTATGTGCTCCCATGAATTGATAATCAATATACTAAGGTCCTGACAAATAAACGGGCAATAGCAAGGATGCAGAGTATATAGAAGAGGAAATACAAGTACTGAACAAAGCAAAATCTCTAGAACTTATTAATCCAAGCATAGAAATTAAATAATAGCATTAATTACTTGTTAATTATTTTAACAATCATTATTGCTGGTGGTGAGGCCCAATGAAATGCTAACTTTCTAGCATTGTATTTTCCCTAACTTTCCAATTTTCTGCATGAGGTAATATTTTTAACTGGAATTGCTACTTAAAATAATTAGATATTAGATTAACAGCTTTGGAGTAGTTGACAAAAATTTTCATACCAGGATGAGAACACATGAAACCCACGGTTGTTTACTGTATACAACAATTATGTATCAAATCTATTTTCAGAATATTTCTAGAAGATGTAATTTGCATGGCTATTTGACCAGGGTCTAGGAGAGAATCTAGGTGACATTAGGCAGTAAATACATGCAGTATCTTATATTTAAAAGCAGACTGTGAATATAGTGTTCTATGTGAATATAGGATATTATTAGTGATATGTATTAGTCTGTTCTCATGCTGCTAATAAAGACATATCTGAGACTGGGTAATTTATAAAGGAAAGACATTTAATGGACTTACAGTTCCACATAGCTGGGGAGGACTCACAATCATGGCAGAAGGCAAAAGGTACACTTTACATGGTGGCAGACAAGGGAAAATGAGAGCCAAGCAAAAGAGGAAACTCCTTATAAAATCATCAGATCTCGTGAGACTTATTCACTACCATGAGAACAGTATGGGGAAACCACGCCCACGATTCAATTATCTCCCACTGGCTCCCTCCCACAACATGTGAGAATTATGGGAGCCACAATTCAAGATGAGACTTGGGTAGGGACACAGCCAAACTGTATCAGGATATAACTTTAGAAATGGGAAGAAGGTTCAGTCTGTGAGAGAGAGGACAGATGGTTGACAGTAATTATATTTGTTGACATTTTCCTAGCATTTTATTTATTTAGTTTTGGAAAGCATTTATTTCTCTTATTTAAAATAAATACATAAATATTTATCTTATTTAATTCCTTCAATAATTCTGTAAAAGACATATATATATATCATTTCCCTTTTACAGATAATATTAAAACTGAGCAAGGTTAAATGGTTACCCTCAATTCAGAGGGACAGTAAAGACTGGAGCTAGGCTTGAACCTGAGTCTCAGAACTAAAGGTTCTATACTTTGTATGATGCTGGACTGTAATAAAAATATTAATATATGAGCTTCAGTTATAGGAATGGAATGTTACTATAGGCTAAAATGGAAATTTTGAATAGAGATTTAGTATAATTTGGATGCAGTAGAAAGAGGAAAGATAATATCTACAAATATTTTCTTTAGCTTTTATTCTCTTGAGAATATTACAGTAAAAGGTCCTACTGATTGCTAAAGAAGTGAATGAGACCATTGTCTGGAAATTCTCACCTGAAAGTCTTTACAATAGAAATGAGCATTTGTACCTGAGCCTATAGTTATGAGTTATCTCCAAGGATCTCCAATCCAGAATTAGGTGGAGTTCCCAGAAGAGGCTGAATTTCTATAATTATTAGGAGTTTGTGTCACTCAAACATTCCTCAGTGGGTCTCAAAAGCAATTCAATTTTAGGGTATGCTCTGGGTCTAGCATATCACCCTTTCTTTTTTCTAGAAGTGTGCTGTCCGAATAATTACATTTAAATTTAAAGTAAATAAAATTTAAAACTCAGTTCTTTAATCAATCTAGGCACATTTTACGCACTCAGAAGCCAGGTATAGCTAGTGACTACTATAGTGAACAGTGCAAATTTATAGAACATTTTCATTATCACAGAAAGTTCTCTTGAGCAACAACTTTCCTAGATTATGGCTGCTTTTTCTAAGGAGGAAACCTTCAACCTGGGGAACATGGAAAACTGTTGAACCATTTGGTGAGCTTGAATCCTTTTGTGAGGTTATTCTTGATCTCAGGGACCATCGGTCTTTTGTTCTACATGTTTCAGGATTATTATGAACTTTCCAGCTACTAAGAGGTCAAGAAAGAATAGCAGTGGCAAGTATGAATCACTCATTAATCAACAATATCTTTAGGAGTGAAGCACTTATTTATCTAAGGTCTTTTTCAAAGCCTTATTTAGGAGATATACAAAAGCTGCTCCTAAGAATTTCTGTCCTTGTTGTCTCAATTCCCCATATAGTGGATCCTAAGGCATTTCTAATTAGGGATAAAGTTGTAAAGCATGTGGAGTTTGTTTTTTAGCAACAGCCACATATTCTGAGTTTCTTATATTTTTGACCCTATTTTTAGCCACACAGTGCTTGGAGGAGTCCTAAGGTGTCCTCCAGTGGGCATAGATCCCATCAACAATTACCAGTTAACTCTTCTAAAAGCTCAAAATTAATCTTTCCTTCTCTCTCCCTCCATCTAGAATTCAAAATATACCTTTCTCAAATTCTATTCGCACTAATTCTTACCTGAGCAATTCATGATTAATAGTGATGGCATAATGAGATGCTCTAGAAATAAGAGAATTTAGATTTTCTGGTTGTGGGGGTGGTAGTATTGCAAGATTGTATCATTTAAAGGGAACAAAAACTAGAATAAGACCTAGGTCTTGTTTCTCCACAATTTCTTAATTATGTATCCACAGGCATTATTAAACCACCTTGAGCTGGAATCTTCATAGGAAAAACGAAGACAACACTTACATCACAGGGTCTTTTGCAAAGATTAAATGGGATAATGGATTTAGATGTAAATCCATTTCAACAATTTTTTCCCCATGATGTCAAGCTAATATCTTCACAGTTTTATTTTATTCCTTTGTGAAAGCATTGATGTCAGCTCAGGGCTGTTTTCTGCAGAAAAATTCTGATATCCTTTAACACTGTCAGAATGTTATTTGTTAGTTGGAAGATAAAAGGATGACAGAACAACAACATAATGGTTTGCTGGAAGTCTTTGTCAGGCGAGTCAACAGGCAAGATCTCCTTCTATTTGTTAACTATGTAGCATTAATTTTCTTTAAATTTAGTAAATGCCTACTATGTGATTATGCAATTTGCAAACAGTCTTTTGTGTTTTAAAAGCAGAAAATTCTAGATCTGAGGTTAATGACACTATCTACTAAGGAATCTGTAAAGATCATAGAGACAGAATACATAAAATCCTTCTTAGAAACATATTCTATCAAGTAATGGGTCATAAGACTCACAAGGAGAGAGAAAAGAGTGTCCCTTTTGAGCTGTATTCATATTTCCAAGCCACTAAGGTGCCACTTGCTGAAATATTCTATCTATAAATAGACACAAGTGACAGAATCACATATCCTCTCAAAATGCAAAATGTTCTTCTTAGGGGTTCAATTAGTCACAGTAAAAACAGTCAGAGCAGCTATCTTCCCAAGCTTGAATAGCTCATAAAGTTTTTTAAATATTTTCTTAATCTATTACCTCATTTCATTCAACCAAAATCCCTGGAAGGACTCTTGTCCTTTTCTGATTATATCAGTAGTTAGGGATGAACTTAATTCACTGTATATATCAATGTTACAGCCATGATTTGAGATCACATATTCAAGAAGATCTTGGATCTTCAAGATCAACATAGGTAAGTTTCAAGTCAAAAAAACTGTGCAACAAAAGGCATGCTGGACAGGGGCATGCCTGTAGTTTATTGACTGACTTGATGTAAGTTTCAAACATTAGTAATGAATACTCAAATATACTCTTTAAGAAATAAAAGCTCTAGCACTCTATTGTATAATAGTAGTCTTATGAGATCACATCCTATTTGTATCTCTTGCATAATGAAGTTGCTTGTTTGCTTGCCAGTTTGAAAATTTTCCTAATGTGTCATTCACCATTTTATCTCCAGTAACAACCACTTTCTTAAAACAAGTTTATGAATAAGCAAATATATATATTTACTAAGTTGTTCCCCTTCCCTAAACAGATAGCTCCCATCTCTTGAGGCAGGTAACAATTCCTTAACATTTTCTTTTTAAAACTAATTTCACTGAGTTTTCAAATCTAAATCTCAGAATATCCTCCAAGTCTCTGGTATCTTCCTTGAGACCTGGCTGGAACGAGAGCTGATGCCCCCATGTTTAGCTCCAAAGGGCAGGACAGGGTTTGTGGTAAAGTAAAAGAGATCCCAGATGTAAAACCCAGATCCACCCAAGTTTGTATTCTCATAATGTTTTGACCTCTCTGATCCTTGACTTTGTCTCTAAAATGGGCGTGGCAAATTCATACTAAATACAATGCTTGCAATGTACTTGGTAAACAGATGTTCAAATATGGTACTAAGAACAGTGAGCTTACCTCAGGCAAATGAAACAGTGAGCTCCATAAGAAAAAAATGCTTTAAATATTTTAAAGCTTAAATACCCTAAGAAATCTCGCACACACACACACACACACACACGCACACTCTTAATTATATAATACACTTTACTGTACATATAGATACAACTGTATAAAATTGTATAAACCAGTGGTTGGCAAATTTGTCTGTAAAGGGCCGGAGAGCAAATAGCGTTTGTGAGACATATAGTCTCTGTTGTACTTATTCAACTTTGCTGTTGTAGAGTTGAGACAGTCATACATAACACAGAAACAAATAAGCATGTGTGTTGTAATTAAAGTTTTTTTTATGAACACTGAAATCTGAATTTGATAGAATTTTGATATAATATACTTAATTTGATTTTAAAAAATCATTTAGAAATGTAAAACGAATTCTTAGTTCATAGGCCATAAAAAAACAAAACAAAAGCAGACAGCAGCCTCGATTTGTTCTATGGCCATAGTTAACCTCTGGTATAAACCAAGCCACATATACTGAAATTTAGAGGAGATTTAAGGAGTTTAAGATTAATGTTTACAGTTTGTCTTTCTTATGTGCTGACTTAAGAACTCAATCACATTTTGAGAGGTGAATTAACTCTTTTATTGTTAGTATCTTTGAATTACCTCAGTACTCAACCCTTATTAGATCATTTTTTCCTACCTCCATTCTCTTGGTGAGCTCATCCAGTGTGCCCTGACCTTAAAATTATCTAAACATTGATGGATCCCAAATTTATATCTCCAGCCTGAACTTTTTTCCTAAACCCTGGACTCCACTCAAATGAAGACATTGAGTTTTTATTATATGAATACATCTCAAACTGAACACATCCAAAACTAGACTCAATCTTCTTCCTAAACCAGTCTCCTCCCCAAGTCTTTCTATCCCAATCTTCCTTCTGTTTGTTCAGGCTCAAAACTTTGAGTCATATTTAAATGTTTTGTTTTACAACACATATCTGTTCAACCTGCAAACACTCTTGGCTCTATCTTTGGGAAATATATCTCGAATACAATCATTTCATGACATCTGTTACTATTATCATAATCTCTCACCTGGATTATCACAATAAGACCAACTGCTCTTGATGTTATACCCTCAGCTATTTACAGTCTATTTTCCATAGAGGATTCAGAGTGATTTCTTACAACTTAAGTTACATCATGTCACTCCTTTTTCCAGAACAGGAGATAATTTTCTCAGAAAAATATGCCAGAGTACTTGCTGTGTCCTACAAAGCCCTATGTTAGTGGCCTATGTGCCTCTTTTCCTCTCCTCCTTCTTCCCCAACTGTCTGACCTCATGTTCCACAACTTCTCACTTTGCTGCAGTCACATGGGTCTCCTTGATATTTTTCAAGCATGACAGTCCCACCTATGTCTGGAATATACTATCTTTTTTTGTAACAAAGTCTTTTGCTTAAACATTATTTTCCCAACAAGGCCTTCCCTGATTATGGATCTTTTAACACTGCATTCCACACCTCCATCTCAGCAGTTTCATTTTTTTCCATCACATTATCACTTAATGTATATTGCACATTTTAGCGATTTAAATCATTGCCACTAGAATGTGAACTCTATACAAGAGCATAGATTTTTTTAAACCTGTTTCACTATGGCTCTCTCTAGTAGCAAAGTGGCATAGTAGGAATTTAAAATATATTTGCTGGGTAAGTGAACACCTTTTCATACAGGCATTGTGGGTGATCTTTATTTTTTTCCTTTGTACATGCCTGTATATTTTATTAGAAAGGAAAAAAAGCTAGTGCAGACTTTAAATCAAGATACACAAATGTTGAGTTCTAGCCCTTGATATGTTACTTTATATGTGTGCCTTCTTGGGTCAGTTCAAAAGTCTATGACTTGAAATTTTATCTTTATGAATAAAATATCTATGTATTATATATGAATATATGCATAAATGTACACATACATGCACATACTACACACACATACAGGCGTGCGCAGCGCACTGGCACACACACACACACACACACACTCATACACACAAAGAACAAAGATATCTGTGACTGCCTAACTTAACTATTATTGGAAGGATAAAATCTTATAAACGTGTTAAGGATATTTGGTAAACTATTAGTTGTTCAATATTAGATCATTACCAAGGGAGGATACTATGTATTTTTACACTAATCTTTTTAGGTTAGGCAATAACTCAATTACATTTACATATTTATTTTTGTCCCATGGACTTTGTCATATGAATTTAATGTGGGACTAGTTCTGAATCTAAATTTAGGATGATGGTATAATGATTTTTCTTCAGCTATGGAAGAAAAGGAAGAAGAGACTTAGAAAAATTCCTTTTTACCATCAACAGCAATATATTATATCAGGCAACACACGGAATAATAAAGAAATGAATCAAAAAAACATTTTATTAAATTGAAGTCATCATCAAGAAAACTCAGTGTGAAGTGACATTAAGAGCCAAACAATTTTCCTGCATTGCATTTGGAGAATATATGTATGTTTTATCAATGAGGAGGGCCAGGCACAGTGGCATGCACCTGTAGTTCCCAGCTACAGGAAAGGCTGAAGTGGGATGATCATTTGAGCTCAAGAGTCCTAGGCCCTCTGCGTAACATAGTGAGATCTTGTCTCTAAAAGGTAAATAAGTAAATAAATGAAGAAGGATGAGAAAAGAGGATTAAGGAAGATGCAAGTAGAACATAAAGAATGAGGGAAACATATTTTGACCAAGTTAGAGAGTTGGAGCAATAGAGATCTGCACAGCCAATGGAAATAATACTATGCCTGGCTGTCTTAGGAAATGTCAGAGTCTATTATTTGAAAGCCATATACAACATTGTGATTCTTTCCATTCTACCATTTTGAAGACAGAATTAGAATAGACATTTTTAAAAATCAGTTTGTGTAATATGACCTAATACACCTGCAAAATACCTCTGTGGTAGAAAACATAAAATATATATTTACAAAACATGCATTGCAACTGACAGTATATTTCACCTGCTGATAAACCTCTAGCAGTTTGAACATAAAATCCTTTCCAGCCACTCACTGCAAAATAAGCCATCAATTTGAGAAAATCTGTCATATACAGAGAGAGAAAGCTCAGGAACCAAAATTGATTATCAAAATAAAGTTTTTTACTACTAAAAGCTGTTCAAATGATTCCTTGGAAATCAGAATTTAAATAATTGAAAAAAACCTAATCATTTACTATCCATTGTCACTAAAGTAGACACCCATTTCCGTGTGTGAACTGAGCACAATTCAATATTAAAACTCTTTGTAAAACTTCACAGCAAATGCTATTCCTTATGTTCATTTAATTATTTCCAATCAAACATGTCTCTATAAGAACTACATTTTAAAATTCCAGCAATTTCCTTCCAAATAACGAGTATACTTCAAATATCACATTTGGCCAACACAGTTCTTATTAACAGAGGGTGGCAAGTACTAAAGCACATCACAGGGTTAATTCTAACCTAAAGTACACCCACTATTTTTTTGAGTCACTGAAAGAAAAATTTGTTACTTATCCAAAGTTCCTCCAAATTAGAAACAACCAATGATACAACAGTATTATTACAGTTAAGACTAAGGGAAACCTGAAAGTCTGGAGAAACCATCCTATGTAGAAGACAGAAGATAATGATAGATATACCAACTGCATATTAGTTACTCTTGGTTTTGAAATATTTTAATAGAAACTATGAGAAATCCACACCAGTATAATGTATTTGAAAATGAAATTCAGAGTGTAAGAGCAGGATGCGGATCTGATTTTGCCCATGATTGAATGCCTAATATGTAGTAGATGCTTGGTAAACATTTGCCTAATGAGTTAATAAAGAATTTTTACAACCGTATTGTCTTTGGTCTAATTTCTTTTCTCCAAAGTGCATTATGCACCTCTGCTCAGGATTTAGAAATATCATATTTAAAACCAATTTGCATTAACCATGTTTTTCTATTTTCTATGTTCTGATAATTTGAGGTATAAGGCCCTGCAGACCCTTGTTAGTCAATTCCTAGATATAGTAGACAACTCATGAGGGAGCCTGCCTTTCAAATGCAAAGCAACCATGACAGAGCCCACACCTTAACTACCCTTCTCTATAGGGCTCTCAAATTCCAGGCCATTATCCACCAGACCTAAATTTCCCAGGCCCTGGTACCAGACAACTAGGAACTATCCTTATGCCTACGGAAATTATTCAAACTAGCTGATCCTAAACCTGGTCATTGCTCATTTCTTCTCATGGAAACCACAATAGGGGCTCTTGCCCACATTTTACCACCTCCCTCTGCCTCCTGACTGACCGTGGGGCTGCCTCATGTGGCCCTGCATGGTGTGTCATGCCTCCTGTTTCCAGGAATCTGTGAGTACAGTAAAACTCCTCCTTCAAGATAGTAATTTCCATGTCTGCCTATCTGGCCATCCCTAATTGAAACAAATCTTAGGTAGCCTTAAAACATAATTCCTCAATGAAAGTGTTTCTATTCAAAACGCTGGCAATGAAACAACTCCACATATTGGAAAAAAAAGTAGGGAAAAAAAACAATGAAAGACTTTTCACCTATAAAGTTGACTAAGATTTTAAATTGGTTATTCTGTATTTAATTTGGTACAAACACTGTAGAACACTTTGGTAATACTTAAACCAATATTGCAGGAATTAACTCAGCTTCTACTTTTAAAAAGCTAGCTAAAATGCCTAATGGAATAGTGTGCTGTTAAAAATATATTATGTGAAAGTTGATCATGCAAATTGGATTATTTTTATCATACTCAACTAAATCAGAGTCTAGAGGCCAGGGGGACAAGGTACTCAGGGCACACAGCATTGCTCTAGAAAAGAAATTCTCTGCAAGTCTGGCTGCTGAAACTGCCTGTTATAACCTGAGACCAGTTTTATCTATAACTACTGAGATAACTTGCTGCAAGTCTAGGAACTAATTTTGCTTGCTGCCATCACCCACCAGTTAAGCTTGCCAGTTCCCCAAAGCTTTACTAATATAAATGAGCTTTCTCTCCAACCACCGACAACATTCTTTTTTATAATACCCCCAATTTTCTCTTGTTCTTCAGACATAAAGACCACCTGGTCTTTATGTATGCATAAAATTGCAATTCTTTCTTCCCAAAAGAATGTTAAATTTAGATTTGTGTTTATATTTTTATTTTGACTTGGGCAATTAATATTTACTGTATATGGCCTATGGAAAAATGTAAAATACATTGCTCAAAAATATTTAACAATTATAATTCCATATTTATAACAAAATGTACATTTAAATATTCATACAACAAAAGCTGAAATGCTAAGCACTAAAATGTTAATAATTATCACTATGTGGTATGCTTATGGGTTTTAAAATATTTTATTTTAAATTTTAAAACATTTCAAAAATGGAGAAATTAAACTATATACCCATGATCTAGATGTAACAAAGTCAATTATTTTAACATATTAGCTTCAGAGTTTTCTGTCTTTTTAAAAAATAAAATATTTGAAATATAGCTAAAAGCTTCACTTAATCCTGTTCCTTCCTCATCATAATTTACCAATAAAGCAATTATCATTCATAAGTACTTTTTAGAAAGGTTTCTACAGTGAACATATATTACTCTGTAATCAGTAAGACCACATTTTAAGTTTACTTGGTGTGGTATTACAATGTCTCTTCATATTGAACTAACATGAGCCTGCATCACTATATTCCATTTTACAAATTATTAACTAAGCATTTCAATTTAAACCTTGCCTCTAACTTGGAATACCTGTTATGTGGGGCCTGGCACTTTACCAGAAACTGCCAGCCATATCAGGCCTATTTTAACAGGCATACATGTATATTTTTTTATAGAGAAATAATTTAACAATTTAAAAATTATATTAATAATTGGAGATGGTATATTTGAAAAGTTACTCTGATTATAATAACTTCTGCTTAGATATTATTCAAAAAATTGAACCAGAAAAAAGTCTAATATTCTGAACAAATTAGGATTCTTATCTCAGTGGTTTACCCAGTTGTGTACCAAAAGGACCTTGTAGTCAAGAAGTCCCACTGCAGAGAGAGTGCTAAGTTAACTAGTAGTAATTTCACTGTAGATTTCCTTAATAAGCATTAGGACATTAAAACTTTAAACAACCACAATCAAATTCCAAGTTATAATTACTATTACTACAAAGGGCTTTTACTAAGAAAATAAATTTGACCTTTGTGAAACTAATTTTATAATTATAGTAAAAAAGACCTGTGGTTTTATTATTTGCTTAATGGACATTTTCCAGGATTTCTGAATTCAAAATTAAATTATAAAAGGATTATTTAAATATAACCATACTTTAAATAAAATGCTTTGCCAACACAGTAACTTTGCATTTCTTTCCATGCTTCATAGGAGATTCTAAATGAAATGAGCCCTATTGATGATTTGAAATTTAAATTGGCCCCTGTGGTCTCATGAATGAGCTGGAAGCCAAGAATATCTCTGACGTGAATGCAGTAGTCCTCACTGATGGGCATGGTTTCTAATTCTCTGGATTGGGAAAGGCCTGTGGTATTCCTGATGATCACTGAGTAGGTTAGGCTAGGACCACTTTCAAAAGACCAGACAGTCTGTGGCTCTGGTCTTCATAAACTGCAATGATTATTTAAAATATCTCTACCATTAACCATTTGGATTGCCCCACACAGTCTGTTCTTTTAATCCCAAACAAAGCAAGGAGCTTATTTAATCAACTAGACTTGTAGGTGTGCTAGGAAATTTTATATGTGGATGACACTGGATTATTTCTCTAATCCACAATTCACGTGGATTCAGTCTTTTGGTATTCTGTATTTGTCACTAATCCTAATAGGTATATGCATTTTTATATATTAGTCACCTTTGAATTCCTAAAAGATTTCTAACAAAGTACCAAGTAAATACCTAAGGTGTAAACACTAAAAAAAATACATAAATTTAGACTTAGTGGAAATATAAGAGATAAAGTTGCCAAATCAAGAGGAAACTTGCTTCTTTTGGTTATATTTGTTACTTATTCCAGCAGTTTAACTTCTAGTAATTTACATGTTAAGAATGGGCAAACATTTACTTTAAAAATATTCATTGTTATGCTGTTTATAACAGATTTACATAACCGAGAATCCTAGTAATGAGGGTTTGGATAAATAATTTTGATTAATCCCTATAATATTACGCGTTATAATTAATGAAGCATAAATATAACTTCTAACAAAAAATGTTCAATGTATATACGTTGTTTTTTCCTCTACCTAGAAGAACAACAAAGGGCCATTACAGAGAAGGGTCCCAGGAGTCTATTGTATTTAATATCCTTGGTGTTTTGGCAGTGTAATAACTCACCTATACAACAGGAAACTTGATTGTGAGAGAAAAGTGGATTTTATTTGTCCAGAAAGCAGAAAATTCCCCACCCCCTGAAAAGGGGAGAAAACACATTTGGAACAATATAAAAGAACTGCAATGCCTTTGTAATAATGACATTATTTTAGATACTTGGATAGGGCTAAGGAGTTGAAAGTCCTGAGCTGGAAGAAAATTAGATAGTTCTGCTCATTTGTCAATAAATTCGAGTTATGATGAAATGTATATTAATAATGCCTTTTGCTGTCAAATCGTGACTCGTCTTTTTTTTCTTCAACAGTTGAAGAAAATATTATACCCCAAATCTTCTTTAATGCTACCACATAGAAGTAAATAAAGACAAGTAAATAAACAATTAGGATGCAGTTGAAAAGTAGGGTGTAGAATGAAAATGTACAAGAGAACATATAGGAAGTCTTCTGAAAATACTTGTAGGAGCTCATAATAGTTTTTCTGAGTGAAGAGACTTTTATGCTGAGCATAAGTTAGCTAGGGTAAAAGAAGACTAGTGGGAAAATGTAGTTTTTCTGCCAGAAGGATCACAGTTTGTCCCTGCAGAGAATTAAGAGTATGATGCTGTCTAGGAACCAAAAATGAGAAATTTAATATCACTGGAAGAGTTAAGCAGCAGCCTGAAATTTATCTCAAAGGGCAACTGGGTGTGAATTAAGGAAACAGGTGGAAAATGAATCACTCTGGCTGTTACATGGAAAAGGAATTGGAGTGGAGAGAAGATTGGAGGATGCAAGGTGTATTATAATAAACCAAGTATCAATGTTGATTGCCCAAACCTATGTAGTGAGAACGGAGAGATATACACAAAGTCCAGGAATATTCTGGCGTTAGAAACAACAAACTGTAGTGATTGCTAGAAAGTTTGTAACTGAGAAGAATGATGGCAAGTTTTCTGATGCAAGCAAATAAGTGGTTACTGCCTTTGTCTGAAATGGGGACCCCACAAAACTGTTTTGATGTAGTGGAGGTTAGATGATCAGAACTAAAAACCCACATCAGCTATTCAACATTGCTCTCTCCATCATATTTACAGCTTAAAAATTTCTGTAGTATTGATAATACTTTCAGTTCCAGTTTAGTTTAAAGGCTGTCTATTGAT
Source organism: Homo sapiens (assembly GCF_000001405.40). Lineage (NCBI taxonomy): Eukaryota > Metazoa > Chordata > Mammalia > Primates > Hominidae > Homo > Homo sapiens. Next base: position 154,334,388 of record NC_000002.12, on the reverse strand, counting down.
TTCATAGATATAAATGAGTTATCTTGGTGAATGCTATGTGAATTTATAATGAATTTACAGGGTGTCGAATGCTATTGCATCCTATAGTTTTTAATAAGGCAGGTAGAAAGAAATTCTCAATGTAATAGTAAAATGGGATTTCAAAAGTTTGAGATTAGCCTAAGGAATCATATCTCTAACATTAGTTGAATGAACAAAGTATTGTATTTCTCTGTTAAGGCAAAGAAAATCTTATGGGTATTTTCTAGAATGTCAATTGTAAAGGAGATAGAATGGAATGTTTTAACATCATATAAAAGAGAAGAGAAAAAAAGTCATCCATGAGGTAACATAACAGAGTTCAAAAGGAATATAAACGACTGCCTGTGTGATTGACAACTTCAACATAATGAACTCAGCTGTCTGTGAAGCTTTGCAAGTTACGACAATTGTAGAAATAGGCCAGTTTGACATTATCTTCCACGATTAGTATCCAAGCAAAGACACTGGATTATTTTCATTTGTTAAAAACAAAAGCCTAGTCTCAAATGAAGCACGAGCTGCCACTTGCAGATTTAGTAGAACTACTACATTTTCTCTTAACAGGGAGAAATAGTCATCATTTTAATTTGTCTAGGAGGAGGGATAAGCTGCCAACTCCCTTTACAATAGCAAGAGCTGTGCATTTATAATTGCTATTAGTCATTGCCCAACTGATATTTTGAAACATTTTCACCATTTTTATAAACAGGTATAAAGAATTCATTGCTATTTCAAGTGAATTAAAAATTAATATAAAATAGGGGAAAGACAAGTCATTGAAAATGTTTTACACAATTGAAGATGTGCAATTTGTTTTTGCTTTCATCAATTATTTTGTTCAACAAATGGCGAATGAGAAACATCATTATTTCAAACCCAATAATGTAATTGAGTTTCCTACTTTCAAAGAATAAAGCTTTCTAGATAAAAGAGTTATACATGTTCTTTAACGCAGGACTAGAATCTCTGGCTACAGAATCACTTTGTATAATCAATAAAATATTTAACTATTTTAATAATTCATATTTCTTTTATAAAACATGTCTCTACTTAGAAAAACATTTATGTATTTTTTACATATATGTATACATTTATATATAGTTTCGAATACAACTATAACTCCAATATCAGTGATAATCACTGAAAATTCTTGTATTTATTTTCTAACCTCTAGGTGTCCTTAGGCTCTACTGAGTCACAGGTGCAGGGCTAAGGAGGTCCTGGCAATACAGAAAGAAAAAGATGGGGCTCCTAGAAATCATTCCTTAATTGGGGGGAAGGTAGGCTCATCAAAAGGTCATTCTAAAGCCATGTGACATTTGAAAACCAAGGTAACTCTACAGAAGCATTCTCCAGAAACACTGAGAATGAAGTGATTAATTCTACTTAGGAAAAATTAGGAAAAGGAGATATGATGTGTAGGGAAGCTTCCAAGAGGCATACACCTATGGGTTTTTTGTGTTTCTACGACAAAACATTCAGATAACTGAAAGTAGTGAAAATATGTACATGAGAAGATAGATTTCTTATTCTTCATTCATTTGCTTTTATCACATAAGAAAACTGATGGCTTTTCAGCATTTGCCTTTAGGATTGAGTTAAATATCATTTCATAACTTTGCTCAATCAGTAACATTTCTCTGGGAAAGAGGAGGCACTGGCCACAGCTACTGGCAAGTTTGTAAACAGGGCAACCAGCTCACATAGCCGGAAGACAGATTCATGTTCTGGAGAGATTTGTTGCTGGGTGAAAAACTAGAAGAGGTAGGTGTCTTATAAAGAGGTTCCTCAACTTGTGGTTTCAGCATTCAGTGTGTAGACAAATGGGTCCCATAAAGAATATTATTTTTTTAATTTCATTTTAAACCATGCAGGAGGGCTTTATAGACCACCCATCATGTCTTTTTAACATCTTACCTGGTTAGATACTCAATTTTTTTTTGTGGGATAGCAAGGGGCAGAATCAGTTCCCATTTTACAGATGTTGCTGAGGAGACTCACTGAGATTCAAGAATTTATCAAAACTAGGGAACTCTTGTAAAAACCAAGCTTTGAACATTCTGGCCTCAAGGTCAGCATTTATGTTTGTTATTTTTAGGCTCAGCAGAGGTAGAAAACACAATCTCTCTGTCTCTTATAAAACACATGTACTCAAGGACAACCTCAATTCTTTTCTCCTCCAGTTTTTCCTTTTTACTTTTTTGAGATAAAAGACAAGGTCATAAGGGTATATAAAGATACAGAGGCTAAGTGTGTCTGGATTGCTATCCATGTATGAGAAGCATGGTATTTTGAATGCCAGAGCTAATAGCTTCAAATGTTTTCTGTAAATTATTCAACCCAGTACAACAGCATTAAAGCCTGAAATAGATCACGTGGAGACAGCACATTGCTATTCAAATTATTCAAACCAGTCAAATGAATTTATTCCTTAATAAAGACTGCCTTGGGCATTTGCTTCCAGAGCTCTTGTGTCTTTCACAAATAACACATTTACAGTTTTCTATTTCTGTAGCAAGAAGTGGCTATCAGCTTATTCCAAGAGCTAGATATATGGGGTTGTGAAGAAAAAAAAAAGTTTAAAAAGTCATTTAAAATTAGTACTCACTACTCTGAGACAGATGCCCACATGTAATGTATCCTGGTTATTAATAAACTCACATATCAAAACTACATAAAATAGTATATTAACATTACCTTGTCAAAATTAGATAGCTTTACCTTCTTCTGAACTAACTCCCCAGAAATTTATTTTCATGAAAATTTCATGACAGGCACAGTGCCTCACACCTGTCATCCTAGCACTTTGGAAGGCTAAGGTAGAACTTGTGGCTAAGAGTTTGAGACCAGCCTGAGCAACATGGCGAGACCCAGTCTCTACATTTTAAAAAAAAAAAATTGTGTGGGCATGGTGGCATATACCTGTGATGCCAGCTACTGGAGAGGCTGAGGTGGGAAGATGGCTTGAGCTCAGGAGTTGGAGGTTGCAGTGAGCTATAATTCTACCACACTCCAAACCAGGCAGCTTGTTACTTGCAATGAAGAGTGCTTTTAATAGACATAGGGGAACAGTTAAAAAAAAATGTAGTTACTGAATAGATTTTTTTTAGTGGAGATTATTTCAGACGATAATCTTTTCAGCTTGTTGCCACATATTTCCCCCTTCTCTAAAGCTTGTATTACTTTTATCTCATGTATAGCCACTGCCTTGATTAAATTTTTATTTTGCATAGCATTTTAATAATATGGCACAATATTTTAAAGGGGATATTATAAAGGGAATATGTATAATGAGCTGTAAGTTTTAAAGTCCTCATAATGTTTATAAACATACAAAACAGTGTCCAGGCATATTAATTACTTCAAGTTTACTCCTATATCTTTTGTCCTTATCACTCTTCCAGCTGAGACTAGGGAAATCATAAATTGTGAATGAAAATTAAGTTGTACTACAATTCCTTTGAATTTACATGATATCAAAGGGAATTTTAGAACAGTCAGTAGAAACTTATTAATGTGAGGAAGGGTTATGTTGTTTAAATTTAGAACATTATTCATTTTGTTATTTGAACTGGTGCAGTTTCAGGTTCACTATATTAGACAGCATAATGGAACCCACTGTAAACTTGGGTTTAGAACTATGAATTTTTGATCCATGGTGTAGCGTGGTCTGAGTGAAATGTTAATATCCTATTAAGATCTGTTTCAGAGATTTCTGGAAGCAAGTGCTGAATGGCCAAATCACTGGTCCCTGGATAATCAGAAGGAGCAGGGGAGGAGCATTATCAAGCTGGGAATCAGAGAAGCTTCTCTTAGTTAACCACACAGCCTCGTCAGTTAAGAGAGAAAAGAGAAATCAGCTGTATATAAATTAGGGAGCAAGGTGATTACTATCTGTCTGTCTTACCATATTTAGCTTTGGCCAACAGGTAAAGGAACATGAGAACACTTATATTTGTTTCATTGCCTTTGTGGTTCTCTCGTTCCCTGGCTGTGGAAGAAGGCACTGCAAATTTGACTGGTCTCAGTTCCCAAACATTCATTGAGGGTGTTATACTAACGAATGGATTTCCTGGACTCGACAATCAGGAATAGAGGCTTTAGCCCCTCCACCACTTGCTGCTCCCTTGTGGTTAGAAAACATGTGCTGGTCATTCTCTCTGTATTTAAAATGCATTTTTAAAATTTACTAGCCTGGGTTCCTAGATGAGATTGTGTCTCCTTGCTTTGAGGATGGGTGCATATCATCTGCCTGGCTACCATAAGGTGATATTTCCCATTTGGCTATTATTTCCTTGTGTGTATAGTACTTCTACTGGGAACTAATTGGCTGATGTCTTAGTCTATTTAATATTTTTATAAAGAAATACCTGAGGCCAGGTAATTTACAAAGAAAAGAGGTTTACTTGGCTCATGGTTCTGTGGGCTGTAGGAAGGCATTACACCAGAATCTATTTCTGGTGAGGGCCTCAGGCTGTTTTCAACCATGGCAGAAGGTGAAAGGGAGCCATTCTGCACAGAGATCACAGGAGAGAGAGAAAGAAGGAAAGAGGCAGAGGTGTGGTGCCAGGGCTTTTTTTTAACAACCAGCTCTCTCAGGAACTAACAGAGTGAGAACTCACTCACACCCCTCCCCTAGGAAGGACATTTCATCCATTCATGAGGGATACACCCCCATGACCCAAACACCTCCCATTAGGCTCTACCTCCAACACTGGGATCAAATTTCAAGATGAAGTTTGAGGGGACAAACATCCCAACTATAGCTGCTGGGATATGAAGTGGGTTGCAGTATAAGAAATTCACCATGTCTTCTGTTTCCAAAATGTGTAAAACTAGATGTCCAGAGAAACCGAACTGGCAAAAGCAAAGCACAAAACACTGATAACCACGTAAAAAACTGATAAATTTGACTATGTTTTAAAAATAACTTTAATCAACAACATCATAAAGAATAAAATTTCAGGCTGGGCATGGTGGCTTACGCCTGTAATCCCAGCACTTTGGGAGGCCGAGGCGGGTAGATCACCTGAGGTCAGGAGTTCAAGACCAGCCTGACCAATATGGTGAAACCCTGTCTCTACTAATACAAAAATTAGCCTGGCATTGTGGCAAGCACCTGTAGTCCCAACTACTTGGGAGGTGGAGGCAGGAGAATCTCTTGAACCAGGGAGGCAGAGGTTGTAGTGAGCCGAGATTGCGCCATTGCACTCTAGCCTGGGTGACAGAGCTAGATTCATCTCAACAAAAAGAAAAAAGGAACCAAATTGCAAACCACAAACTGGGTAAAAACACTTTCAACATCTATAAGCCAACAAAGTAGTAGTACAAAGTATATAGAATACCTTAAGGTCAATAAGGAAAAGATAAAATACAAATAAAACATGAACGAAATTGTGAGCAGTCTTTTAAGAGGAAGAAATATTGATGGTCTGAAAAATAATTGATGCTTAATGTCATGAACAAGATGGCTGCACAGAAGCACATCAATTGCATTTACAGACAGAATTGATACAAACATTTTTAACAAGATCATCTTCTCATTTTCACATTACACTTTTAAAGCCTGAGAATGCCACTGTGGGAGAAAATGTTGGAGCAAGGAGGACTTTGTGGGTTGTAATGTTGGCACAACTTTAGAAAAACACTGGGCATTATCTTGTGAAATCAAACATGTTCAGCAATTCTACCTGTAGGTATATGCCGTGGAATGATTGGTTGAAATACAGATTTTGATTCAGTAGATGTAGGGTGGAGCATTTTTTAACAAGATCCAGGTGATGCTGATGTTGCTAGTCCCTGGACCGCACACTTTCAGTACCAAGCCCCAGAGAATCTCTGGTAGCTATGCACCAGAAAACATGAAAAATAATGATCACAGCAGCATCATTTACAATAACATATAGTTTGAGACAATGCAAATATCCATAATTGGCAGCAGGGAAAAATAAATTATGATACCGTAACACCATAGAACATTATATGCCAGTGAAAATGAATCAGTGTGGATGAGTATCAAAAACAATGTTGAGCAAAAAATAAATCTCAGTGCAATATAAAGTCCAGTTATATAAAAGATCAAAAGCAAGCAAACATATGTGTGATAAACTCAATAAGGAAAGAAAGCAAAAGAAAGTTTATTACAATCTTCAAGATAGCACTTAACCCTAGCAGCAGGATGATCAACATGATACAATTAAGATGCAGAAAAGGTGCTTTTAAGGTACAATCAGTACCTAGTTTTTAAAACAGCATGCTGGGGACAAAGATATTCATTTTCGTGTAATTCTTTAAACTGCATTTTATCATATCAATGTTTTTATAATAAAAAAACAGAAGTGCTATATACTATGCTCCTTTTAAAAATATAACAAATACAAGTGTATAAAATAGGAGAGTGAGGTTAACAAAATATAAAGTGAAAATCAAAATGTATGAAATTATATCTTGTATGACAATTGATAAAATTTGAAGGGAAAACTTAAAAAGCTAATTTAGAAAGGAAGATTCTTCCAAGGTAATATCAAATTTACAGCTCTCTGGTATTCTAATTTGATCCAATGATTGTCTTTAAATGTACAGGAGTACATTGTTAGCAGTGTATCCCTTAAATTGTCTTCTGTAAGACTTTTGGTAGAAAATACAAAGCATGTATCAGTAGTATTCCTGTGTAAGAGTTTAAATTGCAGTAATGTGATATTGTTGATTAAGGTCACTTATGTAAGTTCTGGAAACCAGATAAGCAGGACAGGCTTCAGAATGTATTATTAAAATTAAAGAGTACTCCATCCAAATAAAAGTGCACTTCATATCTACATAGAGTTGGGCCCAAGGATGACCAACAAGAGGTTTCTTTAGGGAAGTGAATTAGTTCCCCTCTGTCACCAAACCTGTGTTAACCTGCAAATCCCCAACTTGGATCATAGCAGACAATTTTAACTTAAAAACAATAAGTCAGAACAGGTGTTACCAGTTAACCTCCAAGACCAGAGGGACCTTATATTAGTCTGTTTCCATACTACTATAAATAACTACCTGAGACTGGGTATTTGCAAAGGAGGGAGGTTTAGTTGACTCACAGTTCAGCATTCTGGGCACACCTCAGGAAACTTTCAACCATGGTGGAAGGCAAAGGCGACCTTCACAAGGCGACAGGAAGGAGAAATGCCGAACAAAGGAACGAAGGAGGAAGAGCCCCTTATAAAACCGTCAGATCTCGTGAGATCTCACTCACTATTATGGGATAGTGATAGTGAGAACAGCATGGGGGAAACTGCCCCATGATTCAATTACCTCCACCTGGTCCCTTCCTTGACCTGTGGGGATTATAGGGATTTCAATTCAAGATGAGATCTGGGTTGGGGAGACAAAGCCTAACCATATCAGACCTCTAAGAAATAATCCAGCAGAAAGTATCAAATTTGCATCCATAGGAACTCCTGATGGACGAACCAAAATGACTTAGTTGTAAAATGTGACCTCAACACCTGAAAAATTTAACTTACTGCAGAGAATTAGTTGATACTAATTTTTATGTGTTAGACAATGCTTCTCAAAAATGATTTTTGTTTTTGTCCTTCCCTCTTACTAGCTTCAGATAGCAGACTATTTTGATTCTTAGGTCAGTTCTTATTTAAGATAATAAGGCTAAGCTCGATTTTATCTTTTGTAAGTATAAAAAGGGATATAGATTCTGGCTTATTAGAAGTAGAGATCAGAATTTCAGATTCCATTTTTTTCCAAAGGAACGGAAAAATTGTTATGTAACAAGACAGGGCTGTTTTAGCAAATATTCATATTGATGTTGGCAGAAATTACTGGTTCTCCTAGGAGATAATTAATATATATATGTAGAATTTCCAGATGTAGCAAATAAAAATACAGAATTCCCAGTTAAATTTGGATTTCACATCAACAAGTAATAATTTATTTGTACAACTATGTTCCAAGTATCAAATGTCACATGAAACATATATACATTAAAATATTATTTATTGTTGATCTGACATTCAGATTTAACTTGTATTTTTTTTTTTTTTTTGCAGAAATCCCCTTCTATATAAAGTAATCATATTTTGAAGCTCAGTGATTTTAGAATTAAAGGATTCAATGTTGGAAAAACCTGTGCATTTATTACAGAGGCCAGAAGGGCAACACCAGACAGGGCCAACCAGAGCAGATAAAAATGAGAACAAGCAATTTTTATCAGACTAGTTTTTCTCAACTGTCCACAAGAATCACCAGAGATCTTGTTAAAATGCAGATTCTGATGCTGTGGGCCTGGAATGGGGCCTTAGACTGTGCCTGACTAATAAGCACAGATGATGACAACACATACTGAATACAAGGGGATGAGCACAGTGGTTCTCCAAATTTAGAGCATGTAGAATCACCTGGTGGGCTTATTAAACACAGCTTCCTGGGCCCCGCCCTCGGAGTGTGGGTCTAATAAGTTCCCAAGTGGTGCTCATTTTGCTAATGTGAGAACCCAGAATTAGTGAATGAGTTACCCTCACAGCTGATCTCTATATGCCTAAGCTAGTTATATACCATATTGAAAGAGTAAAATTAAAAAATGAAATACATGCTTGATTATATATAATTAAATAAAAGTATCTAGTTTTAAAAATGAGTTACAATGCATGAGGTGATGGATGCCTCAATTACTCTTGTTTGTGACATACATTATATGACTATACTAAAGCATCACACGTACCCCATCAAAGTATACAATTATTATGTATCCACAATAATTAAAATTTAAAAAAAGAAAAAAGGTTAAAAGAAAAATCTAAATACCTATAATTAGGGGGACACATGATTAATATAAGTAAAAAGTACAAGTACAAATGATATAACTCAGTTCCGAGATTGTAGTACCCCAGTAGCAGTAGTAGCAAGATCTATGCCATTCCAAGGCCTCACCTCATTTACCTTAACATATTCTAGTGTATTTGAGGGCCTTAATCTGGAGGAACCCGATCTAGTTCCTTTAATGTGGAAGTGGTGGAGAATTCTGGTAACAGAGCTTAAGATGGCTTTGAATAATCATTTCACATTGAGAACAGAAGCAAAGTTTTCTGTTTGGGATGACCATGAAAACAGGTGGTATTTTCCTCTCCTGTGAGGAGGGCCTCATCATTTTTTAGGCATAGGTTTAGGTTCAGGGATAAGGATGTTCCTGTTCAAACTGGCCCCGGCTCTCTAATATGAAGCATTTTTTTTTTTTACTTTCTCACTGAGCCACTCACACAGGGAACTAGGATGCCCCAAGGTTTGGCCTCATGGAGATGAGATGATAGAGATTCCAGCTACAGTGAAACAGTGCCACTGCATGCAGAGCTCAGGGAAGAATGAAGGCTGGGTCTCCCATGAACAAACAAAAGAAAACAAGGCAAACTTATTAACAGGGTGAGACATCTTACAAATAAGGTTGCGTCTCTTCACTGAAAAACACATACTACTTCTGGAGCTTCTCAGGACCATCTCCAGACCACTGTGGTGAGGCAGAAGAATTTCCACCTATTATAAATAGACTCACTGGCTGGTGCCAAGCAACCACACTCCTGCCGGTGAGCATCTGGTCCTGGAGGCTCTCAGTTATAATCAGTGACCTCATCTTTTGCTCTGTGCACCAGGACCACTCTTTCTATTTCCACTTTTCTGATTTAGAGGCAAGACTGGCTCACTGGTTCTCCCTATTTTCTCTGCAACCTACTTTCCTTGTAGCTACCCTAATTTAACACTTTAAACCTGAAACTTGGAGAGAAATGATTCCTTCTTTTCAGGAAAACCATGGACTCCTCATGCAAATCAACCTACCCTATCCCCATGGACCAAAGCTTCATAAAAGATGTGGAGGTAGCATTTGCCAACTAATTCACAAGAAGCTTCTCAAAATTAGTAAGTTAAATATATCACAATATAAATATACGAAATCATCACATGTTGTATTGCTGAATATCCTCCAGTGGACAAAGTTGAGATTTTATCTAGTAAAAAATAATAAAACAAAATTATACCCTTTGCATGTAATTTTAAAATTATTAGAAACAAGACTTAATTGAGACTATTAAAGACAATAAAATAATAAAAAGACGAAGAACCAAAATGTTAAAATAATTTAAAAACCCTAAAAATATGTTCTAAAAAAAATTCAAGAGCATAAACCAAAAGACAAAAAAAAATCAATTTCAACAAAATCGAGGAATTCTCATTGGAACAATAGAGAAGAAATGAATACAAGGTGTGGGAAAAGAGTGGAGTAGGTAGAGATAGGATGGGACTAAGATTTCTAAATGTTGACCTTGCTATATTGTTTTTACTTTGGAATCATGTGAATGTATTATATATCCAAAATAGGATGGGTATTTAAAATTTTTTAAAATGAATCTTGTTTAATAAAATAAACACCATGGACAAAGTTAATTGGCACCTGGGAGATAATACTTGCTGGGATGCTGCAAAACCGTCTGACAAACTTCTATGACTCAGAACTTTTGCTCATAGAAAGAAATCCTCCTTCCCCATTCTTATGGACATATGTCCATAAGAATACGTATGCTGCTTTTACCTAGAATAGTGCCTGAACACAGACAATTATTGATGTTATTTGTTGAAACTAATGGTAACAGGAAGTTGGAGATACTCTGGGTAACTATCACTGGAAGGGTGAATAGTTAAAATGCAGTGGATTCCCACTACTGAGGACTTTGCAACACAAAGATGCACACTTAGAAACAAGGAATTAATTTTAACCACGTAAAGTTGTATGATAAAAAGAAGAGTAGTAAGATACATAACTCAATGCCATTCATGCTAATCCAAAATAAATCAACCCCAAACAATACACATTTTTCAGTAAAACATTCAAATAAAATATACATATTAAACAAAATGCAATAGTTGTCTATAATGGGGGATAAAGCAAACAAATAAATAAGCTATTTAGGGACCAAAATGTTAATGTGCAATAAACTGAGAACTCAACCCTCTTTACTCAAAGTTTAGGGGGAAAAACTGTGGTAGGTTAAAGATGGACACAAATACTTTGCTACTCCTCTCCTTTTTTATTTTTTAAAGACAGGATCTCACTAGGCAGTGAGGTGCAATGGCACAATTACAGCTCACTGTAGCCTCAAGCTCCTGAGCTCCGGGAATCCTCCTGCCTCAGCCTCTCAAGTATCTAGGATGACAGGCAGAAGTCATTATGCTCAGCTGCTACTCCTTCCTTTGAAACATGGCGTTTATAATCCATCTCCTTGAATCTGAGTCATTTTAGAATTTCTGAGATGAGCTCAAAAGAATTCTTGTGCTCCTGTGTAGGCCCCTTGAAACATTTGCTCTAGGGGAAGCCAGGTTCCTTTAAAGTTATCTGAGTACCCCGAGATTACTATTCTGGAGAAGTCACAGATAAACATTTCAGTTGACCATTCTAGGTCAGCCAAGTCTTCCAGCCGTCACATCAAAATGCCAGACATGTAAGTAAAGCCATCTTGGATCCTGCAGAACAGCCCATTTGCCAGCTGAATACCACTGAGGGACTTTAGTCAATGGCTTCGGGAGAGAAATCATCCAGTCGAGTCCAGCCTAAGCTCCTTACCCACAGAATCCTGCCATATAATAAAATGTTATTTTAAGCCACTAAGTTTTGGGGTAATTTGTTATATAGTAAGAGAAAACTAGAACCAAGACAAACAACACAACCTGACTACCACTAGTTTTGAAGACAGAGTCAGGGATTAAAAATACAAAGGACTAAAAGTCAAATATAAACAAAATGATATTAACACACTTAAAAGCTGTTTCCCACTCTGAGTCAGACGCCTTCAAACCAAGGCTGCCACTGATATGTAGTTTACAGTTACATCCTTATTCAATTGTCCTTTTAGTCTCTGTGAGCAAGCCTCTTGTCTTTTCTACTTTTGGCTCTTGCTCCTAGTGCCATGTCCCAGTTTAAAAGGCCAGAGTCAGAGGAAGATGCACCTCTTTAGTGAGTGCTGCTAAATCATCCCACTCATACCAGCATGATCAAGTGGGAGAAAATGGTCTTGTATTTCAAAAGGATTGGAGAAGCTAGTTATTTCATAAGAATATAGAAGGTGAAGTTGGAATTAGAAATAATCCTTTACAACTGCCAATTTAAATGAAAATATTTAATGCCTGTGAGGTTAGGTCAGTATCCCAGAATACCAAAAAAAAAAAAAAAAAAAAAAAAAAAAAAGTACATATTTTAGAAAGTAAACTCAAACTCAAAATTTCCAAGTTACTTTCTTGCCTTTAGAATCCTAGGCCTTTGGTCTTAGACTCCTGTGAATTCCATAAATGGGAACCAAAGCTTCCATGAATGCCAAATTTGTGTAAATCAAGTTGGGCAAATATGTATATACCTAGGAATAATTTCACAGACTTTATCAGATTTTCAGTTTGTTATCCCTGCCCCAGGTTAAGAAACATCACCTTAAAGAAATCCAGAAATATATGCTTATATAAATGAATGTGTCATTTTATTATGCACAAAAATGTAACATATATGTTACTTAATGACATTTTAAATAATGGCTTTTAAACATAATACGATATACACACATATATCAAATATTTGATCCTTAGCCAGTGCTTCCTTATTTTCTCCAGATATTTTTAATATATTATTTACAATTCAGTAAGTCTTTAGTGTGTCTCAGATACAGTTTCAATATCTTTACATACTTTATTTCATTAATACTCACAAATGTTCTCTGTGGTAAATATTAAAATCCCTACTTTGCAGAGGTAGAAACTAGAGTGTAAAGATATTAGGTAATTTGCCCAAGGTTACATTGCTAGTATTGAATTATGACTTTATTTCTGTATTAATACATGCTTGATCAAAAAAGTTAAATTTTTTTTCTGTTAAAGTCTTAATTTACAGACAAAGGGATGAAAAGGAATAGCAGTTATTGGTTATATTCAAATAAATTGCATTTTTAAAAGATGGTAGAATGCAATTCATTGAAAGCAGCTACGGGAATATAGGGATCACTTGACAAAGATTATAGGATAGGAGAAAGAAAGACCATGAGTCACATGACCAAAGCTCCACCTGTGAAAGACAGCTACTATTGTTCCAAATCTTAGTTCATCTAGTTTTAGTGTCCATCATGATGTAGCCAGGCTGACCCCTGAATTACAACACCATGGTCTTTTTTTCCTCCTGTACCTCTACTCCTCCCTGTTCTACTTTCCCTTAACTGCCTACTGCAGATCCTTGTATCCCCTCTCATCTTTCCATTTTCCTGGGCAACTCAGCAAAGTACCCTTGTGATGCCAGTTGCTAACACATTTCCCAAGATGGTTCCTGTGTATTGCCTTTCCCACCTATATTTGAGGATTTTCCAGAATGAGGCCAATAAATACCAGAGAAAATAAAAAATCTGAATATCAAGTAATTCTTATTGGAAAAGTTACTACAAGGTGAAAAGAAGATCTTTTCAATGTTACTGTCCCTAGGAGTCTGATTTGGGATAAAGTTCATTGTCAATTAGCATTTTGGATGATTAGGTTTATACAGAGAAAGATCTGGCTGTCAATACCAGAATAAGATGGCATCTGAAAGTAGAAAAAAGAAAGAGCCTTCTTCAGCCTTTCTGGTCCATGCGTAAGGCAGGCTAGAGTGATCCCTGAAAGATGATTAAGAAGGCCTGGGACTGTGAGAATGGAGAAGGTCAGTCATGGAGGACATCAGTGACTCTACAATAAAACACAACTTTTATGCTATTGTTCATGTACATCATGCATTGGAAATTTTTCCCACACAGCCACCACCCTTTACTACTTTACTGACAGCAGTGGAAAAAAAGACTTCTGTGAGCACAATGTAGCCCCTAACAAAAATAAACATTTCTGGGCAACATCCCTACTGAATTTATACTCAGAAGGCTGATAAGAAGCCCATCAATTAATTGCTTACTTTCTCTGTTTACTTCCATGTTAATAATACATAAGGACTCTAAACATGGGAAAGCATAATGGAAGAAAATAGAACTTAGTAAATGTAATGTCTTAGGAGGTGGTTCTTTTGCTCTTTAATACTGACTTCCAAGTTTCCTTATTCTCCCTTGACAATGAAGAAATTATATTTTCATTGTTAAAGGTGCAGATTCTAGATTGGTAAGCCATTAACTTTAACTTTAAAGGATAAATATGTTCTGATTGTACACTTAATCATTTGGCAGAGAAAAACCTCATCTTGGTAAATAGCTACCCTTAAAAATGTCCATTTTTTAAGAGTCAGATCCACAGTATCCATAGAAATAATAGTCTGTTATTACATAAGTTACTCAAAATTAGGACTCATGATATATGAGGGATATATATATGCATAATATACATAATATATAGGGATATGTATATATATGTCAGCACTTAGTGTTTCTAGTTTTTCTTTTATGTCTGCTATAACTAAGAAGTCAAATAAGATTACATTTTTTATGAAGTGAAAGTTTAAATTACTGTATATAAAAATGATGAAAAAATAACTACTACAAACAAAATAAATCAAAATATGTTACTGAATGAAAAGAGTAATATTTCTAGTTCGATATAATGCTTATTGTTCAACTAATGCTCAATTTAACTGATATTTTTAGAATAAAGTATCATCAAAGCAACATTTCAGTTAAAATGGGATCACATTATTAAGAAATATTTTTCTTTTTTTTTTTTTCAGAGTCTTGCTTTGTCACCCAGGCTGGAGTGCAGTGGTGTGATCTCGGCTCACTGCGACTTCTGCCTCCTGGGTTCAAGCGATTCTCCTGCCTCAGCTTCCCAAGTAGCTGGGATTACAGGCACATACCACCATGCCCAGCTAATTTTTTATGTTTAGTAGAGATGGGGTTTCACCACGTTGCCCAGGCTGGTCTTTTACTGATGACCTCAAGTGATCCACCCACCTCGGCCTCCCAAAATGCTGGGATTACAGGCGTAAGCCACTACACTTGGCCTATATTAAGGATTGATCAAAAGGAATGCTAGCCAATTCTTCCAGTAACATTCACTATAGAATTGTTCAGTAATTTGTATACTCATTTGTTTGAATTATGTATTAGTATTCATTTTCCCTATGCTTTTAAATGTGAAACAAAAGCTCCTGTTGTTCAAATGTCCGCATACATTTATTTTATGTACTTTTAACTTCTCAGATTCCTATTCTATTTTCTTAATTTCCCCATACTTTACACAGATAAGTTTAAATATAAACAATTAACGTGGGTTATGTGTGGTTTCCGTTGAGTTTTTATTTTCTTAATGTACCTCACTTGCACTTAAGTAAACAAAAACTGTGGTGAAAAGAAATAGCTCTATTTAGCCTTCATTTTGAACTTTACCAGTACAATGAATATTCAATTAGTCTTTACTTACCAGTTCATTGGATGATTATCATATGCTCTCTGTATACATATGTGTGTATATATATTTGTATATATATGTGTGTGCGTGTGTGTGCGCGCGCGTGTGTATACTTAAAATACAGACAAAATGTAGAGGCATGTACAACCATGTTTAACCATTGGGTGATTCCATGAATAACTGAAACAACTAATCTTGGCCGTTTTCTGTTTTTCAGATCATATTTTAATCTAACGATTTTTTTTTTTTTTTTGAAATGGAGTTTCATTCTGTCATCCAGGCTGGAGTGGAATGGTGCAATCTTGGCTCACTTCAACCTCTGCCTCCTGGGTTCAAGCAATTCTCCTGCCTCAGCTTCCCAAGTAGCTGGGATTACAGGCGTATGCCACCATGCCTGGCTAATTTTTGTATTTTAGTAGAGATGGGGTTTTACTATGTTGGCCAGGTTAGTCTCGAACTCCTGACCTCAGGTGATGCACTTGCCTCAGCCTCCCAAAGTGCTGGGATTACAGGCGTGAACCACTGCACCCAGACTAATCTAATAATTTCTAAATTTCTTTAAGCTACCACATCCTGTGGTTTAATCTGTGAAATTACTAATTCATCACTCCTTCCTTCTTTCTAATGGTATATCATGAACTAAATTGCATTGTAATATTCATTAAGTTTTTTAAGGCGTTTTGGAATATTTAAATTCCTGTAGAAATGTTTGCAGATACTTTGAGGTATCACAAACTTTAAACTTAGAAATATTAGTATTCCATTTAGAACTTGACTTCTTATTATCATAAAGCCAGGGATAATCAATCACACAAATTAATAAGAAAATGAGAGCAAATACATTTCCAAAAAAATTTCAAAACTCAGTGATATAATTTTATCTCCAAAGAGATAGCGTATTTTTAATTAATTACCTCTTTTTGGGTAGTATTTTAAAGAAAGGCATTTGTCTTGTGTATCAAGAAATTTATTGAGGTAGAGCAGTTATCTACAAACTGATAGTCTGCAAAAGCCTAAATGACTTATATAATTTTTTTTTTTTTTAGATTTTGGTAGGACAAGAATCTGGATGAATAAGAGTCTATGTCCTGTTCAATGTCAGAATGATTGTTATCCTTGACAGTCCACTTAGTCCATTCTAGAGAGAGTTACCTCCAGGGTCAGTGTGCTCAATGCCTTATAAGTAGAATGACTATGTAATTTATTGTTCAAAAATCAGGACACTGTGGTGAGTGAATGGAGGAGCTATATATCATTATCTCCAGAAACAAGCATAAACCAGGAGTCCCAGGGAAACAGGGATGTATAGCTGCCTTCTTTCAAAGATTCCTGTCCCATGGTTGAAAAGCTTTTTATTAGAAGATTCTCGTGCTGAGTCGAAATCCATTTTCTTTCCATTTTAATATAGTCTATTAGAAAAAATATAATGTGATTTTATTCATTGATATATAAGTTTCTATGATGGTAGAATTTTAGAGTTAGAAAGTTTGGATAAGAAATCAAATCCAGCTTCTTATTCAATTCTCACTAGAACATCGCTAAAAGATTAACATCTAGCCTTTGAATATTTCTAGATATTACTCAATTTGTAGCTTACTTCACTAAAAATCAATTCCAAATACAACATTTTCTGGAAAGCTTATTGATCTAGAATTTAAAATTGTATCTATTTTCTTATCTTCTCAATCTGTACAAATGTCTAAGCTCTTCCTCATAAGAGCTCCTTTTAGTAAAAACCCTACACCATTCTTCTTTTTTTTTTTTTTTTGAGATGTCTCGCTTTGTCACTCACGCTGGAGTACAGTGGCACAGTCTCAGCTTACTGCAACCTCTGCCTCCCAGGTTCAAGAGATTCTCCTGCCTCAGCCTCCTGAGTAGCTGGGACTACAGGTGCATACCACCACGCCCAGCTAACTTTTGTATTTTTAGTAGAGTCGGGGTTTCACCATGTTGGCCAGGCTGCTCTTGAATTCCTGACCTCAAGTGATCTGCCTGCCTTGGCCTCCCAAAGTGCTGGGATTACAGGCATCAGCCACCGCACCTGGCCCACCTGTATTTTCAAGTCAAAGCTCCATTCCTTTCACTGTTGTTTATATAACATAGGCAAAGGCTGAATGTGTTAAATGTGTCACCCAAATTTCATGTGTTGGAAAATTAATCCACAAATTTATATGCTGATTGGAGGGGGGCCTTTGGGAGGTAACTATGATTAGATAAAGTCATCAGGGTAAGACCCCCACACTGGGACTTGGGGCAAAAGAAGAAGAAAAGAGACCTGAGCTGACGAGCATTCCCTTGCCCTCTGCCATGCTATGATGCAGCAAGAAGGCCCTCAACAGAGGCCAACACTATGCTTTTGGACTTCCCATAATCTCCATAACCCTGAGCTAAATAAACTTCATTTCTTTATAATTTACCCACTCTCGGGTATTGTGTTACAGCAAAAGAAAATGGACTGAGACAGCTAGTTTTATATTTAGTTATATTTGATTTTGTGTTCACTTTGAAAAATTGAAAACTTAGGAACTTGTAATCTATATTCCTTAATTTTAATAAAAAATTTTTGTTGAAAACATAATTAAATCATGCTAAAATGACAGAATTTTCTAAATTTTTAAGTTGTACAAAATTCCTAGTTGATCACAATTTTCAAATGTATTGCTCTGTTTTTGTTAACGACAGATGTTACACTAAGAATGTGCAAAGTTTATAAAACAAAACAATTAGAAAGTTAAAATGGCATAATACAGCTCACTTACTAATGACAATTCTGACACAACACCTTTCAGTAATAATAATAGTATCATTCTAACTTCATTTATCTTATTTTCAACGATATAAATTATAAACATTTAACTGTTTGATTTTTAAATTTTTTTTTAATTTTTTTGAGACTGAATCTCACTCTGTCACCCAGGCTGGAGTGCAGTGGCGCGATCTCAGCTCACTGCAACTCCTGCCTCCAGGGTTCAAGCGATTCTACTGCCTCAGCCTTCTGAGTAGCTGGGATTACAGGCTTGTGCCACCACGCCCAGCTAATTTTTGTATTTTTAGTGGAGATAGGGTTTGACCATGTTGGTCAGTCTGGTCTGGAACTCCTGACCTTGTGATCCGGTTTGATACATTTTATCAGTGTCCCTGAGTGCTTAGAATATATCTTAATTCAGTGTGCAAATATTATATGTAATTTACAATTCACTTGCTGAACTGAAGTAACCAACAATAAGTCTTTCATTATTTTGAAACTCCAGTTAAATCAATTTGTAAAATATAACAATCATTTAATTTTGGTGAATGTTTCCTGTAATTAAAACATAAACATTTTTAGGCAATTAATATACAATTAGTACCTACCACACTGAGGATGTGTTAACGAATCATGTATACGTGTGTGTATGTGTCTTAAGTAGACCTTTCACACCAGATATTTCATAGCAAGGCAGTTATGCACCAGCCTTTAGGCATCAAGAATTCCACATTAATAGTGCTTCTGATAAAATCAGGCAGAAGGCTTATTTGTTAAATAAACTTCTTATTTCAGAAATTGTTTCCCCTTCTGTTTTTAAAGCCCTAGCCCTGCCTCCCTGATGCAACTTTTCATCCCAGCTTGGATCCATTGTCTAGCATTCTTCCCTATTGAAGATTTACTGCAATGCTCTCAAACTCATAATTCCAGTTGATAAAGATATCTAATAAGTATAGAATTTTTATTTTCTAGATAATTTGTATTAATATCCTGAGGAAGAACGGCTACCAAGGGAATGTAAATTATTAGGGTCCTGAGATAATCTGTCATTGAGAGTTTAATGTCCTGTAAAAAAGTTTGTGGTATGTTTGTTTGTTTGTTTTGTTTTTATAAGTGACTATTTTAAAGGGACAATTTAGCATATCTGAGAAATTTATCCATCTTATATTATTATTTGGTAGAGAAAAGACTGGGTTTCTTAATTCTTTAAGCCATTCTTGCATCACTTTCCTAAGAGTATATGTAGCTGGGTCATTCCAGATGTGAACTCAAATTATATTTAAAATAGCCAAAAAATGAGTATAACATAGGAATTTAGGCAAAGAAGAGTGTGTTTCAACATTGGAATCCAGGCAAAGATGAGTACTATAGTTTGGATATTTGACACTCCAAACCTCATACTGAAATATGATCCCCAATGTTGGAAGTAGGGGCCTAATGGGAAGTGAAGGAAGGTATGTCCCTCATGAATGGCTTGGTGCCATCCTTGCAGTAATGACTGAGTTCTCACTCAATTAGTTTCCCTGAGAGCTAGTTGTTAAAAGGAAACTGGCACTTCCCATCTCCCTCACTCTTGCTTCCTTTCTTTCCCTACAAGATCTCTGAACATGCTGGCTCCCCTTTACCTTCCACCGTGAGTGGAAGCAGCCTGAGCCCCTTATCAGAAGCCAGGCAGATTCTGATGCCATGCTTCTTGTACAGCCTGCAGAGCTGTGAGCCAAATAAACCTTTTTTCTTTTTAAATTACTCATCATCAGGTATTCCTTTATAGCAACACAATCAGACTAAGACAATGAGTATAAATCCAAACAAATGCAATCCACCAGAGTATCTAATTTGGGGGACTTAGCTGAGAGTATGAGAGATAAGAAATCTGCAATGTGTAACCACCTACACCAATAACATTATATAAATGACTGCTACTAAGTGTCAGAGTGATCTCTTCAATTTTGTTAAGAAATTAGAATTGAAATTTAGTGTAATTACTCATATAATTTTAAGCTATTCAATTTTAGTTACCTTAGATTTAACTAGTAAAACTGAGGTACTCTGAAGAGTAGGTTGAAAGATGAAAGGAGTTATAATAAAGCCTCCGTATGTACTTGAATAATATTTAATTCAGACGTAGTACTCCTACATCAAACAAAAACTCAGCCAACTACTGACCAAAAATCCATGCATTTTTCATAAGTGTTCTTGATCATTTGTACCAATTTGAAAAATTTTGTAATTTCCTACCTTGACTAATTCAGCAGGTTTAGGGTAATGGAAAGTAATAAGGACCCATCCAATCCAATTGGGGTAGAATTTATTAATATAAAATTTCAGACTATTGTATTGGTTGCATATACAAAAAAAAATGATTAGACTAGAGGTATCCATGTTTTCTTTGAAGGAGAATCAGAAGCAAGATATATAAATGATCATGGTATCTGAACCCTAGAAGGTAGTACTTATTCTGTGAATCAACATATACTAGGTCCAGGCATGATGGCTCACACCTGTAATCCCAGCACTTTGGGAGGCCAAGGTGGGCAGATCACCAGGTCAGGAAATCAACATCATCCTGGCCAACATGGTGAAACTCCATCTCTACTAAAAATACAAAAATTAGCTGGGCATGGTGATGCATGCCTATAGTCCCAGCTACTTGGGAGGCTGAGGCAGGAGAATCGCTTGAACCCGGGAGGTGGAGGTTGTAGTGAGCCGAGATCACACCACTGCTCTCCAGCCTGGCGTCAGAGTGAGACTCCATCTAAATATATGTATTTATATATATATTGTGTGTGTGTGTATATATATATATATATATATCTCTACTGGGTGTATATATACATATATAAATATAGTGTATATAGATATCTAGTGTATATATATGTATAAATATATATATATAGTGTGTATATGTATGAAATCTGGATAGTTTCCAACTATTTCTAAAGTGAATAGAACTTAAGTTCTAGTGTGTGTGTATATATATATATACATATGCATAAATATATATATAGTGTGTGTGTATGTATACACATATGTGTACATATATGCTAGAACTTAAGTTCTATTCACTTTAGAAATAGTTGGAAACTATCCAGATTTCATTATGATAAAATTATTTTGAGAACATAATTATTCAAAATAATTGTTGAAATGCTAATCAAAGTTGATGAGGATGCAATGGTCTACCCATCTTCAATTCAATATTTTTGTAATATTCAACAAATAATATTTATACCGTCTGCTTATTAGTTCTATTTCATGAATACAATTCAAGATACAATTCAAGAATTACTGTAATATAATCACATTAATAGATTTACTTAAAACTTTAATTTTAACTGTCAAGCTAATAATTTTATTTTTGTTCCATGTATACAAACAAAGCCCCTTTTCATAAGGAAAGATATCTGATTCTGGTATTCTGTTCATGGTTATGGCCCGGAGAGACCACTGACTTTACTAAAAATCAAACAAACAAGCAAAACATCAATTTTGTTCAACTCAAGCCTAAATCATTTAACAAATATTTCTGGGGCACATAAAATGTGCTATACTTGGGGGAGATTGTTTTAACAATGTATAAACCAAAAAAGCCATAAAGGCTAAGATAGACTTTACTTCAACAGTTAAATTCTTTTAAAATATCTTTTTGTATATCGATCAAATTACCACACACATGTAATAACCTCAGAGAAAATCCTTGACAATGTATATAACAGACAAATAATTTATCACCAGAATACATGAAGATCTATGAATAGATAAAAGTAAGGCAAAAATATTCAATGGCAAAATGAACAAAGCATACGAATAAAAAGGATGACTAGTTTCTTTACAGAAGAAATCCCAATGTCATTAGAAAATTGCAAAAGATGTTCATTGCTACCAGCAATTGGGGAAAAAAAACAGATTATCTGTGTTGCGGGAAGTCAGGGACCCCAAACGGAGGGACCGGCTGAAGCCATGGCAGAAGAATGTGGATTGCGAAGATTTTATGGACATTTATTAGTTCCCCAAATTAATACTTTTGTAATTTCTTATGCCTGTCTTTACTGCAATCTCTAAACATAAATTGTAAAGATTTCATGGACACTTATCACTTCCCCAATCAATACCCTTGTGATTTCCTATGCCTGTCTTTGCTTTAATCTCTTAATCCTGTCAGCCGAGAAGGATGTATATCGTCTCAGGACCCTGTAATAATTGCGTTAACTACACAAATTGTACAGCATGTGTGTTTGAGCAATATGAAATGTGGGCACCCTGAAAAAAGAACAGGATAACAGCAATTGTTCAGGGAATAAGAGAGATAACCTTAAACTCTGACCGCCTGGTGAGCCCGGCAGAACAGAGCCATATTTCTCTTCTTTCAAAATCAAATGGGAGAAATATCGCTGAATTCCTTTTCTCAGCATGGAACGTCCCTGAGAAAGAGAATGCGCACCTAGGGGTAGGTCTCTGAACTGGCCCCCCCAGGGCGTACCTGTCTCTTATGGTCGAGATTGCAGAGGTGAAATAAACTCCAGTCTCCCATAGCGCTCCCAGGCTTATTAGGAAGAGGAAATTCCCGCCTAATAAACTTTGGTCAGACTGGTTGATCTCAAAACCCTGTGTCCTGATAAGATGTTATCAATGACAATGGTGCCAAAACTTCATTAGCAATTTTAATTTCACTTTGGTCCTGTGGTCCTGTGATCTCGCCCTGTCTCCACTTGCCTTGTGATATTCTATTACCCTGTTAAGTACTTGATGTCTGTCACCCACACCTATTCGTATACTCCCTCCCCTTTTGAAACTCCCTAATAAAAACTTGCTGGTTTTTGTGGCTTGTGGGGCATCACGGATCCTACCTATGTGTGATATCTCCCCTGGACGCCCAGCTTTAAAATTTCTCTCTTTTGTACTCTGTCCTTTTATTTCTCAAGCCAGTCGACGCTTAGGAAAATAGAAAAGAACCTACGTGATTATCGGGGCAGGACCCCCGATATATCTGTGCAATTATCTATACAAATATAAATAAATATGTACATATATGTCTATACACATATATATGCAAAAACAAAAAGATTGATAATCTAGAATGTTGATAGTATACAGTAAGTGCTCAAGCATTGTTGGTGAGAGTGATAAAAAAGTACTTCAAGAAGTTAAGAATTTTTGACAATATCTACCAAAATATAAATCTACATATCCATTGATCTAATAAATTTAAGTAAACTTTGTGTTGTCATTCATATATATTCATAGAATATTCTATGAATATATATTCTTAGAATATTCTATGAATATATATGAATAATAATAACAGCTAATTGTTTGATACTTGCCAGACATTGTCTTAAGTGATTTATATATCTTATTTCATTTAACTCTCAAAAAACTTTATGTGGAAGGCCGTATTTTTATAATCCCCATTTTATAGCAAACAAACTAAGTGCAGAGATTAGGTAAAGAGAGATTAAGTAGAGTCAGGATTTGAATTAACCCAGGTAGTCTGCCTCCAGTGCTCTCATTCTTAATGCTTCCACATCCCTCAGAAATATCCTCTTGGGTTCACAAAGAAGTTGTTACAGGAGGGTTTCTGTAACTTTTTTGTAGTAAGGGACAACTGAAACCTACCTAACTGCTTATCAATAT
The DNA here is from genome assembly GCF_000001405.40 of Homo sapiens. Lineage (NCBI taxonomy): Eukaryota > Metazoa > Chordata > Mammalia > Primates > Hominidae > Homo > Homo sapiens. Next base: position 154,310,597 of record NC_000002.12, on the reverse strand, counting down.
TGGCATGATTAAATAAGTTTTGATATATCCATGCAATATAAAACTATTTCTCTACAAAATGGAATAATAATTCTAAGCAAATAGTATGTAAAACACTGCAGGACATAATATTAAGGTAGAAGTAAAGGAGTTACAACAATACTGTTTTTTTATATATATGAATATGTGTCTGTATATGTATGTAAATGCATAAGAAAAAGATTTGAAGGATACATGGTAATGGTGATTGGGACTTACATATTTCATTTGCCTCTGACGTAGGTTATAAAATAGTACAAATATAATAGATTTGAGCTCAGTAAGCTCTAAAGACAAAATCAAACAAAAAACAATAAAACAGATATAGTCCTTTTATTCACATCATTTAGTGGGGGTAAGAAATACTTGAAACATGCATAAATGCTACATTAGGGAAATTACAGGAACCACTGGAGTCCCTGGGGGGAATTACATCAAACCCAATTGATAGGGGTGGATGATTATGGTACTTTAAGCAAAGGTGGCAGTATTCATTAACTACTCAAATACTTTTTTAGACATACAGAAAACCTTCAAGGTAAAAGGGAGCATGTTAAGCTTGGAGACCCAATGAATGTAGTTCCACGTGGCAGGTATGTGGAATTCTTGGGAAGAAAGTGTACAAGAAAAGACTGGAAAGTTGGGCAAGGACTGGATCTCACAGGGCCTTTTTGGCCATGTTCATGGCTTTTGACTTTGTGTTAAGTCATTAAAAGGTTGTTAGGAAAATAAGAGACCAGTGATAATTTGGTTTGGGAAGGTCCTCCAGCAGCGCTCTAAGAGGAGTAGGCAAGCTTTGAGAAGGGAGGCTGCTGTGGTTTGGATGAGGTTTGTTCCTGCCCAAATTTATGTTGAATTCAATTCCCAATGTTGCAGTGTTGAAAGGTATGCCCTAGTGGGAGGTGTTTGGGTCATGGGAGTGGATCTCTCATGAATAGATTAAAGCCATCTCATGGAGTGAGTTCTTGCTCTCACAAGACTGGATTAGTTACTTCAAAAGTGAGTTGTTTCTTCTCATGTTTGGTCTCCTTGCACATACCCATTTCCCCTTCCACCTTCTGCCATGAGTTGAAGTGGCACAAGGCCCTCACCAGATGGGCTGCCTGATCTTGGACTTCCCAGCCTGCAGAATTGTGAGTCAAACTTTTTATCTTTATAAATTACCCAGCATCATATATTCTGTTATAGCAACACAAAACAGACTAGGACAGAGCCCCATTAGGATAATCAGTAGGTTGTCTGGATGAAGGTGAATCTGGAAATGAAGACGAATGGATTTGAGAGCAATTAGAAGGTGGAAAAGAAAGGAGTTGGAGATTCATTTGAAGACTGTGGGCGAGAAGGAGGAATCTAGGAAAATGTAAGCAGTTCACCTAAGAATCATATTAATTCTTGAAAATGTGTTTCCCATGTATTAAGCATTTAATCTTATTTTTCATTTAAACTAATTACATGTGCTCATGTAGATAGTTCACACTTTAACGGCAAAGACAACATTTTAAAAGTGTTCATAGTCCCTCCTACTTGACATAGTAACAAACAAGAACTTAATAAGCACTTAACAACTGAAGACAGAGCATGGCAGTATCCTTATTATAAAAATACAAATAAAAACCCATAGAATACCAATAAAAGGACCAATAATAAATGTTGACCTAATGCCTTAAAGAATTATAGAATCCAAAACTGTTTTAATTGATTGTAGCAAGGAAAAGCAGTTGATGAATATAGCTGTCATTCTTTATTTTCAATATTTAGCATTTTAGGGCATCACACAAATAATGCATTATGTGTTATTATAACATGGCACTTTAAAATAATTTAGAATTTTCTCCTCATCATACCACAATCCCTCATTGATACTATGGCTGCTGCTGCTGCTGAAAAAGCATGTATTAAAAAATAAAAGTTCAAAACTCATGGGTACAAATGTACTTTATTTTCAGAAGTGCTATACTATTTTCAGATGAATTCCTGTTAATCCAACCAATAGCTAATATTCCTAGATTATTACAAAAATATTCACACTGCACATTTTGCTGGAAACAAAATGTGGTTGCAAAATCAGCCTGGAACATTTTCATGACTTACAGAAGAAATTAGGCCCCACATTCAAAGAGCTGGTTATTAAATATTGTATTTTTCAAAATATCAGCATGTCAAAAACACTAGTATTTCATAGATAGAAATTTCAAGAGATGGAAATGAATATAGGCTTTAAACTTTAATAACAATGCAAAAATGCTGCTAACAAAGGCTGCCTTTGGTGAGTTGATTTTTCTTAAGCATTTTTAAAAGGTTAACGAATAGGGAGTTAACCTTCAAAGTAAGTTCAAGGAGTCTTCTGTAATTGTGTGGTTTGTGTTTAACTGGAATACAGATCAAACTACAATATTGCCAAAGAAAAAATAATGTATTTTTCCAAGTCACATACAAATACCTTTTAAGGTATGTTTTGGGATCCTTTAAATTTAATTTTAATATGTTTCTGCTCAAAACAAGAGTGTCCATCAAGTAAAGGAAGAAGAACCTGGGTGTTATATAAAAACTGCTGCTTCTAATCACCATGCCTGTTGATCTACAGCTAGAGATCTACCTTCCCCTCAAAAGAAAACCACTATTTATAAAACAGCCAGCATATCAAATATACAGAAAGTATTATGACTATAGTCTATCTTAAAGTTCTTAAGCTTTTTACCTGTGACCAAGAGGAAAAGAAAATGTTGCTTTTTATAATGTGGTATTCTGTGAAGAGCAGTTTTTGCTTACATAACTTCACTTCAAAGGATTTGCTAGGACAATCAGATTGGTTCAAGCTGAAACAGCTCAATTACTTGTGAAAACTGCCATAGGCTTTAACAGCCTACAGGGCTTTAAAAATCAATGATGCTATAGTATTTGATGCTATATAGTATTTGCATCCTTAAGAAGACAGCCAGAAATCAAACTAAACAAATGTGAAAAAAAAAAATCTATTCTTGAACACTATTTCAAAGTATGTCTATTTTTTATTTACACATCTATTTAGAAGACATAAATAGACTCTACCAACTTTGTCAATATTACCAAACGGCTAATGAGCATAGGCCAAGACTGTTAGGATATATAGTAGATATTGTGAAAAAACTCAGATAAAGGTATTCACACATGAAGCTATTTATACATCTCATTTTTAACTTTAAATTAATTGGGAGTCTTAAGAAATATAAATACCAAAATGTATAAAAGTAACCTTATTTTGGTTTGTGGGCTCTTGTATTATGTTGCTCTGTTAGACAATTTTATTGTCTGCTTTTATTGTGCCTGTTAGACTTTTGTATTAGCCCTGGAGGGTAAGATTATATTACAGTGTGTACCTATGATTATGGTGAAATCATAAAACCCTAAGCACATATGTAAACCAAAGGAATTTTCTTTTCCTATGGAAAACTCAGAGGAATTGAAACTGCCTTTATTGTAACAGTGAAAGGGATCTGACCTACCCAACTCCATCTTGCTTCTAACCTCCAAACTGTCCTTGTTCATTCCTGGGTGCAGGCCAAACTAATTTTGGGAGTGAATTTAGTGTAACGCTAAAAAAAAAAAAAATAACAGCCCTTTCTGAAACAAACCACCTTCTTGCCTAGGGACTAGTCTGCCTTTGTAGGACTAACAAATTAGCCACAAGATGAAAAATTATGGTTTAGGAGTCATGCAGCCAGAGGCCACAAGATTCTGAACCTCTCCAAAATGCTCCTGGGGATTATATCACTGTTGTGATGTAAAACCTAAGATCATTGCTGCAGACATTTTGCAGACCCTACATTTTGATGCAACAGCTGATACCACTCAGACGGGTAATCTGGCTCAACCAGTTCTGTGATCCCACCCAGGAACAGAAGACTGCAAGAAAAACCCACTTCAATACCCTATGATTTCATCTCTGACTAATCAGCACTCCCCATTTCTTGACCCCCCCCCCACCAAATTATCCTTAAAAACCTTGATCCCTGAATTTTTAGGGAGACTGATTTGAGTAATAATGAAACTCTGATCTCCTGTACAGCCAGCTTTATGTGACTTAAAGTCTTTATCTATTGCAATTCCCCTGTCTTCATAAATCAGCTATGTCTGGGCAGTGGGCAAGGAGAACCTGCTGTGTGGTTACAGAATGATATAACGCAGGAACAGAACACCAAACACTGCATGTTCTCACTCATGAGTGGGAGGTGAACAATGAGAACACATGGACATAGGGAGGGGAACATCACACACCAGGGCCTGTTGGGGGTTGGGGGTTAGGGGAGGGATAGCATTAGGAGAAATGCCTAACGTAGATGACGGGTTAATGGGTGCAGCAAACCACCATGGCACGTGTATACCTATGTAACAAACCTGCATGTTCTGCACATGTATCCCAGAACTCAAAGTATAAAATAATAATAATAATAATAATAAAAGAGATTTATGAGGAAGACCCTTCACCTCTCTTTTAACAGTGGGTCCTTATCCAGGGCTGGATCAGAGAGGTGGGACAAAGGCTTATTTGCCACAATTCTTGTGAAGAGTCTCCCTGGTATAAACCAGACACCCATGGATAATTCAGCAGAAAGAAACAAATGTGGCTCTCTTTTAAAAATTATTCATTCATTCATTCTTCCAGTTATTCAACAAAATTTTTTTAAACAAAATGACAGGAAAGTTGCTAGGCACTGTAAATAGTTGTCTCTGAACTACTTTGGATATAGAGACAAGTAATAAAAATTAAAACAATATGGTAAGAAGTGATGATGGTTTGCCCATGTTATCAAACTTCAAGGAATACAAAGAGAGAAAGAATGCCCAGACAGTTCAAGACAGATAGAGCTGAAACATTCCTGAAGCCAACCAATACAGTAGTCAGGTGATATTTTATAGAGTATATTGAAAGTAAGTAAGTTATTGTCATAATTCAAGTTATAAAGGCTCAGCACTTAAAGACTGAAGTTTGAGAAACTGCCTAAGTGAAGAATAAAATCTCAGAGTAGAAGCCCACATGTAAAAAGTAGAAATCTCACAAAACATATTGGAAAAATTAACAAATATATAGAGGAGTTTCTAGAAAGAACAAGTATTATTTATTTCACCATGTTAAGGAAGTTCTGAGAAGCTCAATATAAACTCATAAACTCTTTAGAGTTTTTCATAAATACGCGTGTGTGTGTGTGTGTTTGTGTGTGCATGTGTATTATAGTAAAGGATATAGTTCTAACTGTGGATGTGAATGCATGTAGCTCCCACCCCTCCTTCCTGAACACACACACCAGATTCTCTCTTTACAAACTCACCCATTCCCAAAGTGATGAAAAACAGAAAATCAAAAATTCCAGAGGATAGCAAAGAAGTGTATGATTTTGATTTTAAATTAAAATGACCACTGCTGTTTTAGCCTAAATTAACAATGGCTGAAATTGTTGTCATAAAAATAATAGATTTCTGACTTCCTGAATGCAACCTGTTTTATCTGTTTTTGGATGATCTGAAATCTTCCCAGGGCTCAAATTGTTTTAGACATCCAGTACTAGTTTCTAGCCTGCGTCCATTCTTCCTTTTTCAGGGAGAAGCAATTCATTGTTTTGTGTTTCAGGTTTGGGGTTTCCTCCCTCTGCCCACACTATTGCTGGTGGATTCTACATTGCTTAGCTGCACTGACTGTCTCTGAGACACACGTAAACATAAACGCCCTTTAGGAAGTTCTTAGATATCTTCAACACATTCCCCAAAAGTCCTTGTTCTGCCTCCCAAACTACTTTTCTACATTTAAATAAATCCATTTTATAAAACAATAACCCCAAATATTATTTATTGTAATGTAAAAACTGCACTTTCCAGGATATACAAACAGTCCCTATTGTGCAACATAAAGTCATTAGTTCCAGATAGCAGGCATTTTTTCCCATGCTTTACATTCTAAAGTTATTCATTTCATTATAATTTGAGAAATGGTTCCATCATTTATCTGCCTTTTTCATTCAGTGGAAAATTATACAAAAGACTAGCACATTACTTTTCACAAATATTCATCATGGATGAATATAATACATGTGATTACAATTATTCTCAATTACTCATATTCCTGAATGTACATTGCATGCAATCACACATAACACACTTTTTTCCTCCATTACTCCTTTATTCATATTTGAACTTATATATTTCTACAAGTAATGATTTGAATTCAAAAAGTATCATCAAAAGAAAATGAAAAGGTTATATAAATGTCACTGCCTTGCTTTGAATATTACATGCTCTTGCTGAATTCAACTCTGAACATATGGACTAGATTTCTACTGTAAAGGGAAATACATCTATGCATGAAATGGTGTTCCTCGTAATAGCTTTTTAACATAGAAGAGGCTTGAAAACGTGTGAAAAAGTCCTTTTCCTAATCACACACTTAAACATACAATGCCCCCATTCTTTATATAGCGATGCTGGATCTTAATAAGAAACTTCATACTGCTCCTTCTGCTCCTTCTCTTCTAGGTACTTATATATAAAAAAGTTTTTGCGGGCGCGGTGGATCAAGCCTGTAATCACAGCACTCCGCGAGGCTGAGGCGGATCACTGGAAGTCAGGAGTTCGAGACCAGCCTGGCCAACATGGTGAAACTCCGTTTCTAGTAAAAATACAAAAATTAGCCGGCCATGGTGGCGGGTGCCTGTAATCCCAGCTACTGGAGAGGCTGAGGCAGGAGAATCCCTTGAACCGGGAGGCAGAGTTTGCAGTGAGCCGAGATCACGCCACTGCACTCCAGCCTGGGCAACAGAGTTAGACTCCGACTCAAAAAAAAAAAAAAGTTTGAATTTCCTTATGAGGACTAAACTTGGACCTTTTCCTCTCTTGTCCAAGTTCCTATCATGCCGTATTGACCATACAATCTCATTAGATGGGTTTATTTAACCCTGTGTAATGTGGGTTAGTCGCTGATATAGGAGTTAAGATGAAATTACTTAGGCAGTGAGGGTACAGGAGTCCTCAGTAAGGTTTTCCTTTTTAATGAAAAGCAGCCCTAAAATCATTTTCTAACAAAGAGCAGTTTGTAAAATTGAACTGCAGATATAGATGCTAGCAGCTGGGCCAATCATGTTCCAAACAGCGACTCCATCTTCCCTTTTCTCTTTGGCAGCCATATGTACAGTAAGGAGCAGACAAGATGGCGCCAGTGGAGTGGAAAGTCTATTTGCATAATAAGATTAGGGTGGGGTGGCCAGCCTTCCCGCACTCTATGTAAAGGGCGCACCTGATCCAACCATTCTGTGGGCCCCAGTAAATCAGCCCCCTCAAGCCTGCCTATAAAATCGCGCGCATCCGACTCTGGTGGTCTTTCCCTTTCGGAAGCCCTCTCTCTCACCAGAGAGAGGGCTGTCCTCCTTTTTCTTTCTTCTGCCTATTTAACCTCCACTCCTAAACTCCTCGTGTGTGTCCCTGTCCTAAATTTTCTTGGCATGAGAGGACAAACCCCTAGTATTTACTCCAGACAACGTAGCCGCTTCATTGCCAATCTCATTCTGGCATAAAAACATATGACAGATAAAGAAGGAACCCAAAGTATATTTCTTTGCCATATTTCGAAATGGCCCTGCAAAGACATCTTTTGTAGGGGAAAAATCTGCATCTAGACCTTTCCCCTTCCAGTCCCTCCCAAACCTGAGAAGATTAACTGAGAGTTTAGCACCTTTTAAAGGTTTGAATAGGAAACACTTGCCAACTATTGCCTCTAAGGTGGCCACCAATGATACTTCATCTGTATAATAAGAACCTTGGTTTCCACAACCTCCTATCTTAACCCAGTCACTCTTTCCTATTGAGTCTAGGTATTTAGACAATAACTTGACCAAACCAATATATCCCTCATATGAGTTCACTGATGTGTCTTATGTCTCTCTAAAATGTGTAACATCAACCTATAACCCAACCATCTTGGGCACATGTTCTCTGGAACTCTCCAGACTGTGCCTTGGGCCAGGTTCACTCAAATTTGGTTCAGAGTAAAGCTCTAAATGTTTTACAGAGTTTGACTCTTTTCATTGACACTTAAATATACCTTCAAAAATCAGAGCATGCCAATTAAAATCAAATAGCCTTTTCTAAGCCAGCTAATAGATTGTATTACAGAAAGAGGATGTAGGCCTGGATTTTTGTTGTTGTCCTGATGGGTTACATAATAATGACAATAATGACACTAATGACCATAAGGCCTATATAAAAACAGTCCTTTTGTATCCTTATTTTTCTCCCTTTTTAAATGCTTCAGTTTTTGGCTTTTTTTGTTTTAAGTAATGTAGCTATTGCAGAAATCTAGAAAATTATACAGAATGTAATCATTAATAATCCCACCACCCAGTAATAGGATTTTCTCATTTTTTTCCTTTTTAATGACTTTCAATTCTTAAAATAAGTAATGTATGAATATTAGAAAATATATAAAAATATAGGGAAAAGAATTACCCATAATCCTACCACCCACTGATAGCCTATGTTTACTTCTATTTCAATATATATACTTCTCTGTAACTAAAGTATGAAAACGTTTTACTCATATTATTTTTCACACATATTTATTGATAATTTACTATGTTCTTCAGAAATATAAATTTAAATATCTGCATAATTTTCCATCTTGTTTCTGTATGAAGTCATTTAATCTTCCCCTACTAAAATATTTTTAAAAATATTCTTAATTCGAGTTAATAATAAATATAGATCTCTCTGTATGGCTTGCTCCAATTTTCCAGCATAACACTTGGGTTGAGAAAAAAAAAAGATAATATTTAGGTGTTTGAAATACAGTTCTTATTTTACATCAAAATTTACTTCATAGTACAACTTTCTCATATGCCGTTTTCTGCAATATTATGGTAATAAACAATATTTTAACTAGAAGAATAACAGCAATAATGAAACACATATTCAGTATGTTTCAATTTTATTTTCTCCTGTAGAGAAAGAAAAATGTCAGAATTGTGTACCTGGGGATATGATGTAGAAGAAATCTTTAAATTCATCCATCCAAACTTCTGCCAGTCTCCTGTTGTTCTTGTTGATGACATGACCAGTGCCACCAGGAAAAGTGTATGGAGTTGCCTTCCGAAAAACATGACCAACATGGGAGCAAGTAACAATCTCCAAGGAGCCTCCACATTGCCAAATCTGGGAAAAGGAACAATCATTGTAAATAATGCAATAATATTGTATGAGATGAAGCAACTGAAGCTTAGGCCAAATCTTCGTATTTTACATGTTTCAAGCAAATATCTGATGCAAAATTTAGAACTGGTACACTATACTTACTTTTGGCAAAGGATGCGAATTTGGAAGATCTTGATATATTTAAATACTTGTAGCATTGGAATTATGGAGGTAAGACACATTTAATGTATGTCTCTTTATTAGAATACCTAATTTCTAGTTTCTAGTAGTTAACCTAATTGCTAGTTAGTAGATTTGGTACCCAAATCTGCTATTAATGAATCTGTACATGTTACATGCCATTGTCAAAAACTAAATTTGATTTGGAGAAAAATCAGTTACTCTCCATCCATCTGGAATTATAAACGATCATTCATTCTAAGCTGGTCATATACCTTGCATCTTAAGCCTTTGGATTTATTATTAAGATGTGTTAGGGCACCTTTATAGGTGCTCAAGGTCTACATATCCTTCAAAACTCATCTTCACCAAGATCATTTCTTCTAGAAAGCTCTGGGGGGAGATTTAGTAATGTGTACCTTTTTTATTTTAAGCATGCTTTTAGGACTGATTACAATTATTCACTTCCTTATCACTCCTTTAAAACTATAAATTCTTAGAAAATATACCATATATTTCTTAGTATCCTAGAATTCACTGTGTATTTGAGGCTAAGTATTATGCAAACTAGCCATAAAATACTGATTTCTATGAAATTATGTTGTATAATCATAGCTTATACTATTTCTATATATGTGCATACACACAATACTATACATACAATTATATATATATATAACATATATGCTACAGGTTTTCTTGTCACAATAAATAGAAGTCATAGTCGCTGTTTTACAAAATTTGGAAAACATGGTTTTATACTGTAACTAACATTGTTTTCATTTGATACATCTGATTTAAGTAGAGTTACTTTTTTTGAAAGAAAAATATCTTTCTGGCCATTTCTGGCCAGGTGCGGTGGCTCACACTTGTAATCCCACCACTTTGGGAGGCCGAGGTGGGCAGATCATGTGAGGTCAGGAGTTTGAGACCAGCCTGACCAACATGGCAAAAACCCGTCTCTACTAAAAATACAAAAATCAGCCGGATGTGGTGACACACGCCTGTAGTCCCAGCTACTCAGGAGGCTGAGGCAAGAGAATCGCTTGAACTCGGGAGGCAGAGGTTGCAGTGAGCCGAGATCACGCGCCATTGCACTCCAGCCTGGGTGACAAAAGCGAAACTCTATCTCAAAAAAAAAAAAAAAAAAGAGAGAAAGAAAGAAAAAAAAACTATCTTTTCACCTGACCCTTCAGATAACATTTAGCTTAGAAAAGAGCTGCTATTGGACTTGGGTAGCAGTAAGAGACAACCACTTTTTTTATCAGAAGATAAAAGATGATAAATAATAAGTCATAATAATCAATAATGGTTTGTGCATTTCATGTAAATCTATTTTTTTATTTTATAATTTTTAAACAGTGTAATGCTAGCAGAAAAATAGGTCCAACAAACACTGAAATACAGATGAATATACGAGAAGAATAGAAACCTTCCTCCCCCTTAAAAGACAGGGAAGCTCATTCTTAAATAATCAACGTATTTCAGGCCGGGCGCGGTGGCTCACGCCTGTAATCCCAGCACTTTGGGAGGCCGAGGTGGGCGGATCACGAGGTCAAGAGATCGAGACCATCCTGGCTAACACAGTGAAACCCTGTCTCTACTAAAAATAGAAAAAAAAAAAAAAATTAGCCAGGCATGGTGGCGGGCGCCTGTAGTCCCAGCTACTCTGGAGGCTGAGGCAGGAGAATGGCGTGAACCCGGGAGGCGGAGGTTGCACTGAGCTGAGATCACGCCACTGCACTCCAGCCTGGGCGAGAGTGAGACTCTGTCTCAAAAAAAAAAAAAAAAAAAGTATTTCATTGATTGATAACTTCCTCATCTTCCTAGCTTCATGAAATATATGAACCTTCTTGTGATTACGCACATTTTTACATTCTTCCTGTTAAAATGGAGGCAGTTAATCGCTATCCTATCACAGATAAATCAATATTCTTTTTCAGTCCTCCATTATATCCCTTGTATCTTTCTTAAGGATGTCACTAATTTAGTCATTTCCCTTGCTTTTCTCCTGAAATATTAACGTTTCTCATTACTAGATTATGCCTATCTTTGCATAATACCTTCTAAAGTCGTCTATCTTTCAAATAGCTTCAAAAATTTATAAAACACACAAAAAATCAATTGTTTAATATCTATATCCTATCTGTTTCCTTTTACCATTAAATAATATAAAATATATATTTTATCTACATTTTATATTTTATATATAATATATTTGTATCTGTAATATATATTTTATATTTTTGTTACGGTAGAATTATGAATTATGTAATTTTAGCATATTAGCGATACATGTTCTTAGGAAACAACAGTGAAAGCAGAAAGACAATTAAGATTCTAATGAATATATAATGTATATATAAATAATATATAATGTATATATAATGTATATATAAATAATATATAATTTATATATAATGTATATATAAATAATATATAATTTATATATAAATAATATAATATATAAATAAATATATAATTTATATATAGTATATATATTTATATATACTATATATAAATAATATAATTTATATATAAATTGTATATACAATGTATATATAAATTGTATATACAATGTATATATAAATTGTATATACAATGTATATATAAATTATATATACAATGTATATATAAATTAATATATACATTGTATATATAAATTATATATACAATTTATATATAAATTATATATACAATTTATATATAAATATATACAATTTTATATATAATATATAATTTATATATGTATATATAATTTATATATAATTTATATATAATTTATATATGTATATATAAATTATATATAATTTATATATATTTCATATATATTTATATATAAATTATATATTTATATAAATTATATTTATGTAATTTAGTGATATTATATATGTATTTAGTGATATATGTTCTTTCCCTTCCTCAATTTACATTCGTTTTTGACCTACTGTAAAAAATACTGTTTATTTATGTAGCTCCTCACAATTCCTCTGGTCAAAATAACAAATATCCCTTGATGCATTTATTATCTTGTTGACTGTTTTCTTGGAGTCTCCTGATTTTCCTCTTCTTATATGTTTATCCATTTTTACTTTAAATTTATATTTAAATGTTGGCCTTCATCTCTCTTTATACATTTCATGGGTGGTCTCACTTGTTACTATTAATTTACATAGGACCTGCATGCCAACAATCTCAAATTTACATCTCAGCCCAGACCTCTTTTCTGGGATCCAGACTTGTGTATCCATACATCTACTTGATACCTCCTCTTGTATGTCCCAGAAACATACAAACAGAAATGTTCAAACTTGGTTTGTTGATTCACCCCTGTTCTGTCAGCCAGGTCTTATTTTTTTCTATTTTTTTTTTCCAATTGATAGTATATGGTGCCAACATTCACCCAGATAGTCAAACCAATAAATACACAAGTAAAGTAAAATAAATAACTAAATAAAACTAGAACATATCATTGACTTATTTCTTTCATCATCTGTATGCATATGCAATCTATTATTAAATCCTAGTAGTGCTATCTGTAAAATAATTCTCCATATAGCCATCTGTTTTCGTTTGCTTGCGCTGCCATAACAAAATCCTGGGAGGCTTAAACAACAGAAATCTCTTTCTCACAGTTCTATAGGCTGGGAAGTTAAAGATCAAGGTGCCAGCATGGTCAGTTCCTCATAAGGGTGTTCTTGCTGACTTGTAGATGACTATCTTTTTGCTGTGTCCTTACATCATGGAGAGAGCAGTCTGGTATTTCTTTCTCTTCTTATAAGGATATCAGTCCTATCAAATTAGGACCCCACCTTTCTGACCTCATTTATCTTCAATTCCCTCCTCACAGGCCATATGTGAGGCAGTAATTGAAGGCTTCAATACATGAATTTTGTGGGAGCCCTCTCTCTGTTTCCGCGGCCACCATCCTTGTCCTAATCACCAGCATCTCTTATCTGTCAATTCAACAGACTCTTAATTGTCTTGCTGCTTTCAGTGTTGCTTTCTGCAATTTGTTTTGTAGTGAGAAATCAAAGTGGTCTTTTAAAAATTTAATTACTTAATTTTACTTCCCTGCTTAAATCCTTGAATGGTTTCTCATTGCACTGTGAATATAAACAAAATCCTTTAGCAGGGCCTCTAAGACCATACCTTATTCTCCCTCTCTGTCAAAAAACACTGGTGATACTGGCCTTCTGCCACATTCTAGAATAACATACCACATACCTTTTCACACACCAAATTCTCAAATCTCCTTCCCCTGTACCCGGAATACAATTCTGTCAGCACTTCACCTTGGCTACCTCTTTGCCATACTTGTCATCTCAGCTGAAACATCACTTCATCAGAGAGGTCTTCTCCAATTGCTGACGGGTTGATGGATGCAGCAAACCACCATGGCAGGTGTATACCTATGTAACAAACCTACACATTCTGCACATGTATCCCAGACTTAAAGTATAATAACAAAAAAAAAGAATCTTTAAAAAAATAAAATAAAAATAAAGTAGCCCCACCCCAGTTATTTTCTCTAAGAGAACCCTGTTTAGTTCCCTCTTTGCTTACCACAATCTGTAACTTGTTTATTTGTATTCCTCTCTCTCTCTCAGACATGATTTAGTAGAGTACTCAACATTCATTCTGTGACCAGGAAAGGTGCTCCAATTTCAGAAGAAATGACACGACTTGTTATACATGAGACGGAATTTAAGGTCTTCTCTTTATTGTGAAAAATGCAAGGTGTTTGGTAAAGAGGCTTTTCCCTCCCTTCCTATGGAATACTCATAAATGAAGAGCTTCTTTCCTCCTTCACCCAAACAAGGGAGCTAACTGAATGGAGAGACTGGTATTTCTCTCCCAGCTGGACAGTTGTACAGCAAATTAGCACGTTATCCTGGTGCTGCCTTTAGAGCAGAGAAGAATGTGTTCAGAGAGCTACATGACCCTAGTAAAAGAGAGACCACTCCCAATCTAGTGAATTCTGAAGCTATGGTTGGGGTTTATTTTACAGGTTGTTCCAGCAGAATTGATAGGTCCAGTGATGCAGTGAACCTTGGAGGAAGTGGTCTTTAATAGCATCTGGACAAGACCTCAGTCATTTCTGGGCTCTATAGAGCATGGAACATAGAAAAGAAAGAATGAGCTATGGGACTAACAATATGGCAGATCAGCAAGGAGGCACACTTTGAGAAAGGCAGTTGGGTGAAATAGAGACTAAGATCTTCCTCTCCAAAAGGCCCTTGGAAAAGAGAAGAAATAAAGGCTGAAGCTGAGCACAGTTTTAAGAAAACAGTAAAACTATGTATAGAAGATAATCACCTGGGTAAGGCCACCAATAGCAAGTGGAACCATATGAAGCCAACAACGGCAAGCCATCATCAAACTTATCAGAAAAGACCTGCCGTTTTTCTAGCCTTCCCATTTCACCCTACCCATTGGGGAAGGCAACCCACAAACCCCTGCCCTCTCTCATTCCAAGCTCCTCTTTCATCATGGGCCTAGGGAGAGAAGAGAATGTGAGCTATGTGTGCCTACAAAAATCAAGGCTTTACAGTGGACATTAGAGCTTTCTCTAATGGCTGGGCATGGTTCCTCACACCTGTAATCCTAGCACTTTGGGAGGCCCAGGTGGGCCAATCATCTCAGGTCAGGAGTTTGAAACCAGCCTAGCCAACATGGTAAAACCTCGTCTCTACTAAAAATAAAAAAATAAAAAATTAGCTGGGCACATGGTGGTGGGTGCCTATAATCCCAGCTGCTTGGGAGGCTGAGGGAGGAGAATCACTTGAACCCGGGAGGCAGAGGTTGCATTGAGCCAAGGTCGCGCCACTGCACTCCAGCCTGGGTGACAGAGAGAGACTCCATCGCAAAAATAAATAAATAAATAAATAAATAAATAAAATAAAAAGAATTTTCAATAACGAGAAGTGATTACAAAGCTATAAAATCAGTGCTAAATAACATTAAGGACTGAAAATGAGTATTCTTCAGAGCATAAAAGCAATAATTGGGGGGAAAAAAGTCATTTTAAATCTGTACTCCACTAAATTCAGACTAAGCCCTGTTTAATATAAACTACTGACTGACAGTTGTCCTCATGACTCTCCATTTGCCTTTCTATAAATATGGATTAGCACTATGGTTGTGTGAGTTAGATGCACAGGGCTCTTTATTTCCACTCTGTTGCTTCTTGGTCCTCCCATAGGTTGTGGGTTTATTGGTTCTCTGCCAATATCAGGGCTCTGAACATAATACTCCAAAATATGTCAAGTTGGCAACTGAAAAAACTGCCGTAGCCAGGAGGCCATTCTGACCTTCTCCCACCTTTCTACCCTGAAGTATAGCCATAAAGAAATTCTCTGACTTACTTTTCCTAAAAGAAGATCATAAGACTCTAGTTTCACAGGGGTTCTGCCCTATATTTGCAGGCCAAGAAGAATCTGAACAAACAGACCTTGCTAAGTGCCCTGCCTCCTTTAATTCCATTAGATCACACTTAATTTTTGTCCAATCATACTTCTATATGACTGTCCATTCTTCTTGGATCCTAAGGATAAAAGTGTCATTGAGTTATGAAACAAATGCTTAAGGATGAAAATTCTTGGATCTTTAGGTCTTCATTTCTGAAGGCTCTCATTTGACATAAAACTTGGGTTAAATAAATTTGTCATGATTTCCTTTTGTGAATCTGTCTGTCTTTTTCATAAGAGTGTTGGTCATAAACCTTGTGACAGGCAGGGAAAAGATATTGTTTTGTTTTCCCCTACATCCTGAACGTGCACACAGAACAGGAAATGAAATCTGGTTTGAAATCTTTTAAAGTAGGGTTCCAATGGTCTCACTCCTTTCCATCTTAATTGGCAAAGATAAGGATATACGAAAGTTCAGATTTTATGTTATTCTCCTGACATGTAATGACATTTTTATGTACATATACAGGTATAATGCTGCAAGCATTGATATTTGTAAGACAAGGAAAACCTGTCTGACTTTGATTCTCACAGATAAAGGCATTTCTTAAATATATTGAGGATAGATACAAAGAAGTGGTGGCAACTGTTCCATAACTCAATGGATACTGGCTCATGTTTTGCCTGTATGCCATAGGCTACTGACTCTTGAAATAATGTGAGTGCTTCTCCCATCAGCCATCTGTGCTCACAGAATGTGTAGATAAATGCTGATATTGCATTTCCTAGGTAAAGCCTCTCCTCAAAATTTGCACAAAAATAAAAAGATTAAGGTAGAAATGCATAACACTATGCATTAATTAGGCTCATAGTAATACTAAGTTAATATCTACTCATAGTAATACTAAGCTAATACAAGAATAAAACATTTAACTTATGAAATATTGACCAGATAAATGTCATATATTTAGACTCCACGGTAATGTGAAAAAAATAAATGTTAAAGCAGAAAGAACTCAAATTGAGTGGAGTCCACAATGACTACCTCGATAATTTCCTTTATTGTACCCTCAACATTTTAAAAGGCAGTGAGAAAAGAAAGAAGGAACATTATGACCCAGTCATTAAGAACTTGGGCTATGAAATAAGCAAACAGAATTTTTCTACAGGCTCTGTCACATGCTATGTATACTTGTGAAAATTATTATTTAAGTCTTCAAGGCCTTAACTTTCCCAGTGGAAAGTGGGAATAATAATGACTACTTCCAAGACTCTAACAAGATTTTATGTGTAAAGAAACAAGGAACTATGCCTGGCACTTGATATGGGATGAAGTAAAATGATACTTGGATATTATTTAACTTTTATTGCCATAATTTCTCAGGGAAATCAACATCTATAGATTACTCGCTGATTCTTGCTTTTTAAAAAGAATTTTATTCAGGTCTTAAAAATGTTGTGTTTCTTTAAAATTACAACATCAATGTCCAGGAGTTATGTACACTGTGTGGAGTCTAAAATAATAGTCTATTAGCTTCTAATTAGAATACCGCATTTTATTCCCTGAAATTATTTTACAATGTCTGAACAAACTGTATAAGCTGAATAAAACATGATGTCTCATTCACATGAACAAGTGATATCTGAATTACTTTGTATCACTGAGTATATCAGATTGTTATTTTCTAGGCTTTCAACAGATTAATATTTTATATTTTATCTCTTTCAAGTAAATTTGACCATGTATACAATATAAACTATCCTATTATCCACAGGGAATTAAAGCTTGTCTTTGTTCTCAGATATTTTTATAAATGTCTTATGATGGAGAAGGTTCTTAATCAAAATGTAAAATGCCCATTGCTCATTTGATTATCTACTCTATTTCCCCTGCTAGGAGACAATTAACGAACATACTTTATCCTTTTCATGATTTTTGGCACCCACATCAGTGACATTTTAATTAAAGTTCATAAACTTCATAAGCTCCACTTTGCAATGTCAGTTCCAGTGCTACTATTGTTTCTAATTTTACAGCTGTTGTACCAAATTCATGCAGCTGCTTGTTTTTATATTAATCTTTATCTTTCCCCTAACCCATAAACATACTACCTCTGGCACGAAGTCATCCTTTAATATAGTCTTATTGAAAACAAATAATAATGGAGACCATATAGTACAATGATTATGAGTAGAGGCTATAGCTCCTGATATTATATCCTAGCTCTGCAACTTACTAGCTGGGTGACCTCAGTTATGTCATTTTTCTGTGATTTGGGTCTCAGATAATAAAATGAAACTAGAAGAATCTAGCCCAGCAAACCTGGTAAAATAATATTGTTATGAGGATTAAGGCAAACTAATTCACATAAAGATACTTAGCTTTTATTTGGCAATGAATTGGAATTGAGTAAATGAGTGATTTATTGAGGAGTTATTGCAACAATCTAGAACAGAGATGATAATGACTTTGCCCAAGGTGATGGCAGTGAAATAGAGAGGAATTTAATAACTTGATACAATTTGGGAAATTAAAATTATGAAATAATATATGAGGGTATGTCAGCAACATGGTGAAAGAGCAGGCTCTGGGCTACCTCTCATCCCACAGACACATCTAGTATACACCTAAACATGAGTCAGTTCTCTCCAAGAGAAAGCCAAAATCCAGATGAAAGACCCGTACATGCCAGACTACTGAGAAATACTCACATCAAAATGGATATTGAAAGCAGAAATACACTCATACACTAGCTCCACCCAGAGCACAGAGCCTTACAATTGAGAGGAAAAATCTCAACTACCAGCTTCTTCCTGAGGGGTAAGGGGCTTGCTTGTACGACACATAAAGTGCCAACTTTTGCAGTCTTTACAGAGGGCTCGGCTCTTCAATCACCATGCTTGATGAACCACAGGGAGAGGGCATCAGAAGATTTATCTCAAACATAAAAGGAAAAAACAAAAAGGTTTGAATCACATCGAGAGGTGACAACGTGCTAGCAGTCCTCGCTTGCTCTCGGCACCTCCTCGGCCTCGGCCTCAGCGTCCGCTCTTGCTGAGCTCAAGGCGCCCTTCAGCAGGCCGCTGTGCTGTGGGGGCCCCTCTCTGGGGCTGGCCAAGGCGGGAGCCAGCTCCCTGGTCTGGCCAGGAGGTGTGGAGGGAGAGGTGCGGGCAGGAGCTGGGGCTGCACGCAGCACCCGTGGGCCGGCCGGGTTCTGGGTGGGCATGGGTTCGGTGGGCCCCGCACCCAGCGTGGCCGGCCAGCACCTGCTGGGCTTGACTGGGGGACAAGCTCTCTCTGGGCTGCCAGAGTGCCCAGGCTAGGTGCCGCAAAGTCCCCCAGCGAGTGCCATTGAGAGGTGAAGCCAGCTGGGCTTCTGGGTAGGGTGGGGACCTGGAGAACTTTTCTGTCTAGCTAAAGGATTGTAAATGCACCAATCAGCACTCTGTGTCTAGCTAGAGGTTTTGTAAACACACCAATCAGCACTCTGTGTCTAGCTAAAGGTTTTGTAAACGCACCAATCAGTGCTCTGTGTCTAGCTAATCTGGTGGGGACTTGGAGAAATTTTGTGTCTAGCTAAAGTATTGTAAATGCACCAATCAGCACTCTGTGAAAACAGCCCAATCAGCTCTCTGTGAAACGGACAAATCAGCTCTCTGTAAAATGGACCAATCAGTAGGATGTGGGTGGGGCCAGATAAGGGAATAAAAGGCCACCCAAGCCAGCCGCGGCAACCTACTCAGGTCCCTTTCCACGCTGTGGAAGGTTTGTTCTTTTGCTCTTCACGATAGATCTTGCTGCTGCTCACTCTTTGGGTCCGGGCTGCCTTTATGAGCTGTAACGCTCACCGAGAAGGTCTGTAGCTTCACTCCTGAAGCCCGCGAGACCACGAACCCACCGGGAGGGACGAACAGCTCTGGACGGAAAGAGCAAACAACTCCAGACGCGCCACCTTTAAGAGCTGTAACACTCACTGTGAAGGTTGCAGCTTCACTCCTGAAGCCAGTGAGACCATGAACGCACCAGAAGGAGGAAACTCTAGACACGTCCGAACATCAGAAGGAATAAACTCCAGACACACCATCTTTAAGAACTGTAACACTCACTGCAAGGGTCCGCAGCTTCATTTTTGAAGTCAGTGAGACCAAGAATCCACCAATTCTGGACACAACATGAGCCCTCCTAGCAGCTATAGCACTGAGGATTGGCCCAGCTTCTAAATTCCCCCAAATTTGGTCTCAGGCTTTCCTATCAGCTTCCTGTGGTTCTGGCCTTTTAACAAGCCAGTATCTGGGAACCTACATAGCCAATAAAGAATAAGCCGCCTCCAGCTTAAACAGAAAGGAAGGCATGTCCTGTATGTACATTCTTCTCTGGCTTGCTCCTAAGATAAATTCCTGTAATCTCAGTCTACCCCGGCAAGAGAGATGTAAAAGTTCGGCTTGCCTTAACAGGAGAGTGGGCATGCCCCTTGCTTCCTTCCTTGGCTTGCTTTTGAGATAAATTTCTGCAATCTCTCATTAAAGAGAGACTGGAGGACCTCTTCATTCCTGAATGGAAAAGTAGGCATTCCCTGCACCTTCTTCCCTGCTTTGTTTCAGTGATAATTCTGGACTACATTCTTCCCCTGCTAGGAGGGTGTGAGACTTCCACTTGTTTGAATGGGAGAGTGGGCTCTCCCTGCATATTTTTCCCTGACTTGCCCCGGCAGTAAATCTAGATATGCAGACTCTCACTGGGAGTAGCTTGTGCATGCATTGAGTGCCCCAACTTTTATAGCCTTTACCCAAGAGAATGGCTCTTAAATCACCTAGCTATGGGAGTTGACAGAGCTCTGCACTCCTGAGTCTCCTAGACCACAGGGAACAAGAAAAGACTTTTAAACTTGGAAATATTCAGCATCTCTCTCACTAGACTCAAAGTGAGCATTCTGATTATGAGCAGAGGCAGCTGCTTCAGGCTGTCTCCTTGGTGAAGGACAGAATAAGTGGGACAAACTTTGGCTCTCAGCTTCTCTGCAAGAAAATAAGAAACTGGAACACACCTCTAACACTGTAGCCTCTCTAGCTGAATCCCAAGAGACTGGGTGCTATTCCAACTCTCTCAAGGCAATAGCATGACTTGGCAATCACTAATTTCTTGGGGATTGATATGCTTTGGCTGTGTCCCTACCCAAATCACATTTTGAATTGCAGCTCCCATGATTCCCATGTGTTGTGGGAGGAACCCAGTGGGAGGTAATTGAATCATGGGGGTGGGTCTTTCCTGTGCTGTTCTCTTGAAAGTGAGTAAGTCTCATGAGATCTGATGGTTTTATAAAGGGGAGTTCCCCTACACAAGCTGTCTTGCCTGCTGCTTTGTAAGATGTGCTTTTGCTCCTCCTTTGCCTTCTGCCATTTTGTGAGGCCTCCCCAGCCATGTGGAACTGTAAGTCAATTAAACCCGTTTCCTTTATAAATCACCTAGTCTCGGGTATTTCTTTATCAGCAGTGTGAGAATGGACTAATATAGTAAATTGGTACCATCACAAGCCTGGAGACTTAGGACAAAAAAATTTTTCATAGGCCAGCCCAGGGCCTTATTGCTTTATGCAGTCTTGGGACTTGGTGCTCTGCATCCCAGCCATGGCTAAAAGGGGCAAATGTAGAGCTCAGACTGTTGCTTTAGAGGGTGCAAGCCCCAAACTTTGGTGGCTTACACATGGTGTTGGGCTTGTGGGTGCAAAGAAGTCCAGAATTGAGGTTTGGGAACCTCTGCCTAGGTTTCAGAGGATGTGTGAAAATGCCTGAATGTCCAGATAGAGGTATGCTACAGGGGTGCAGCCCTCAGGGAGAACCTCTTGCTAGAGCAGTGTGGAAGGGAAATGTGGGGTGCAAGCCCCCACACAGAGTCCCCCCTGGGCATTGTCCAGTGGATCTGTGAGAAGAGGGCCACCGTCCTCCAGACCCTAGAATGGTAGATCCACCAACAGCTTGCACCATGTCCTGGAAAAGCCAAAGGCACTCCGTGCCAGCCTGTGAAAGCAGTAAGGAGTGGAGCTGTACCCTGTACCTTGCAAAATCACAATGGTGGAGCTGCGCAAGACCATGGAAACCCACCTCTTGCATCAGCAAGACCTGGATGTGAGATATGGAGTCAACGGAATCATTTGGGAGCTTTAAGATTTCACTGCCCCACTGGATCTCAGACTTGCATGAAGCCTGTAGGCCTCTTCATTTGGGCCAATTTCTCCTATTTGGAACAGCCGTATTTTCTGAATGACTGTACCCCCATTGTATTTAGGAAGTACCTAACTTGCTTTTGATTATACAGGCTTATAGGCAGAAAGGACATGGCTTGTCTCAGATGAGACTTTGGACTGTGGACTTTTGAGTTAATGCTGAAATGAGTTAAGACTTTGGGGGACTGTTGGGAAGGCATGATTGGTTTTGAAATGTGAGGACATGAGGGGCTCACATTTGGGAGGGGCCAGAGGTGGAACAATATGGTTTGGCTCTGTCTCCACCCAAATCTCATCGTGAATTGTAGCTCTCATGATTCCCACATGTTGTGGGAGGAATCTGGTGGGAGGTACTTGAATCATGGGGGTGGTTACCCCCATGCTGCTGTTCTTGTGATAGTAAGTCTCATGAGATCCGATGTTTTATAAAGGGGCATTATCCTACACAAGCGCTCTTTCCTGCCTCCATGTAAGATGTCACTTTCCTCCTCCTTTGCCTTCCACCATGATTGTGAGGCCTCCCCAGTCATGTGGAACTGTGAGTCAATTAAATCTCTTTCCTTTATAAATTACCCAGTCTTGGGTATGTCTTTACTAGCAGTGTGAGAACGGACTAATACAGGGACCAATAAAAGCAAAGCAGGTTGGACAAACAAAGTGTTTTGAGGCACCTAGAATCTCCGGCTATACTAATTGGGAGGAATATCTCCAACGCAAGACCAGTCTAGCAAGACTGGGAGAGGTGGTTCTTTTATCTAAGGTACTGAATCCCACAGAGTCAAGGAAAATGAAGAAATAGGAAAATACATTTCAAATAAAAGATAAGATAAATCTCTAGAAGCCAACCTTGATGAAATGGAGACATAGAATTTACTTTATAGGCAGTTCAAAAGAACAGTAATAAAGATGCTCACTGAGGTGTGGAGTGCAACACATGAGCAAACTGAACGTTAAAACGGAGATAGGAAATATTAGAAAACACCAAACAGGAATTATTGAGCTGAAGAATATAATAATAACAATTCAAAAGAGGGTTTCAACAGCCAAGTAGAACAAGCAGAAGAAGGATTGATGAACTAGAAAACAGGTCATTTGGAAATCATCCAATCTGGGGTGGGGGCAAAAGGAAGCATTGTTAAGAATCACTGGGCTGTGGCCTAGTTGGCCCTCAGAGGTGAAGGCAGGGTGGGCCCTCACTGGGGCAGCTGGAGGAGCATGGACTGCCCCACAGGCAGGTAGGTGACGTTCCCAGAGTATGAGAGCTGGAATGCAATGTCTCGCTGCTTCCAACTTACACAGCTCAATCAGACTGTCCCCGCCATGGCCAGTGAGTTGGGGATCAGCTCTGCTGTCTTGGAGTTGCCGTCGGCAAAGATGATGGCTGCCTTCTTCTGATGCTCAGCCTTTTCCACCACAAATCTGGCCCTCTCTGCTTCCTGCTGAGCCAATTGTTTGGCTTCCACCGCTTCTGTGAACTCCTTCTCAAAGGTCAGATGTGTCAAGGACATGCCATCCAAAGGTGGCTGCTTGCCCAAAGGTGGGTGGATGAGCCCAAAGATGACCTGTAAGGTCATCACTCACCTGCCTGGAGACCAGCTCTCTTTGGGTGATCAGTTCTCCTGCATCAAAGTGAGCCACCACTGACTTGAGGGTCTTGGTAGTGATGGATGGCAGCACAGAGTCATTGTAGTCCTCTCCGATGCTGGTGAAGATGTGCGCAAACTGGCTAGCAACAGGCCAGAAGAGGATACAAAGTATGATGTTGACATTCTGTAAGTCTTTGCTACCAGTGATGACTGGCACATTACATGGTCAAGAACATCAGTTAAAGAAAATTGGTTTCTGTACCCATGGCATGAGAAAGTGAGTCCCTTCCTGTACCACAATGTCCTGTATGCCACAGAATCAGTCAAAGATGGCAGCTCTGTGTCCAGCATGCACACTGTATAAGGCAGAGTTCACCATGCCTCCTACAACAGCTATAAGGCCAGGCCAAACTTGTTAATAGACTCAAACATGCTGGCAGCCATGTTTCCTTCTGCTGGACCCTCTCACACCTGCATCCACTCTGACCATATTTTTATATATTTTTGTTTCTACTTAGGGGTATCTTTTCCTTTAGGTTGAATAACTCCTTTTAGTACTTCTTGTAAGGCATGTCTAACAAAATGAAGAACCCAAAGCACATGATCATCTGAGTAGAAGCAGAAAAATTTGACAAATTCAATATCGCTTTATGTTTAAAACTCTCAAAAAACTAGGTATAGAATAAATGTACCCCAATACAATAAAAGCCATGTATGATAAGGCCACAGCTAATATCAGACTCAACAGTGAAATGCTGAAAGCTTGTCCTGTAAGGTCAGCAACAAGAATGCCCAATCTTGCCACTTATATTCAACATAGCACTTGAAATCCTAGCCAGAGCATTTAGGCAAGAATAAGCTAAAGACATCATATATGAAAAGAAGAAGTGAAATTATCTCTGTTTGCTGATGACACGATCTTATATGCAGAAAACCCTAAAAGCTCCACCAAAAAAACTGTTAGAACTGATAAACAAATTTGTAGGTCACAAAATCAAAATACAAAAATCACTTGTATTTCTACACATTAATAATGAGCTATCTTAAAAAGAAATGGAAAATAACAATCCCATTTACAATAACATAAAAAATACTTAGGAGTAAATTTAGCCAAGGAGGTGAAAGATGTGTTTATTGAAAATTATAAAACATTGACTAAAAAATTGAAGACATAGATAAATAAAAATATATCCCATGGTCAGGTAATATTGGTAGAATGTTCATATTACCTAAAGTAATCTACAGATTCCATGCAAAACCTATCAAAATTGCAATGTTATTTTCACAGAAATATAAAAAATAATCCTTAAGTTCATATGGAAGCAGAAAAGACTCTGAATACCCAAAGAAATTTTGAACAAAAAGAGCAAAGCTTGAGCATCACATTTCCTGATTTCAAAATACACTATAAAGCTATTATAAATCAAAAAAGCATGGGACTGGCATAAAAACAAACACATAGACCAGTAAAACAGAATCAAAAGCCCAGAAATAAACCTAAGTATTTATAAATTGATTTTCAACAGAGGTGGCAAGAACACATAATGAGGGAAAGAGAATGTCTTTAATATGTGACATTGGGAAAACTTGATATCCACATGCAAAAGAATAAAACTGTACTATTTCACACCATATACAAACATCAACTCAAATTGGATAAAATATAGACTTAAATATAAGACTTGAAACTGTAAAGTTACTCAAATAAAACATGGGGAAAAAACTCCATGATATTAGTCTGGGCAATGATATCTTGGCTAGGACTCCAAAAGTATAGGCAACAAAAGCAAAAAGAGACAAATTAAATTGTGTCAAACTAAAAAGCTCTTGCATAACAAAGGAAACAACAGAGTGAGGAGACAACTCATGGACTGGGAGAAAATATATGCAAACCATATGTCTGATAAAGAGCTAGTATCAAAAACAAGGAATTCAAACAACTTAACAGCAAAAATATTAATAACCCAATTTCAAAATAGGCAAGTGATCTGAACAGATAATTCTCAAAAAAAGATATGAATCACTAACATCTATGAAAAAATGTGAAACATCACTAATCATTAAAGACATGGAAATTAAAACCACATGAGATATCACCTCACATCTATTAGAATGGCTATTATAAAAAAGATGAATGATAATAAGTGTTATATTTCACAGTTATTCTCCGAATCCTCACTCTCCACATGAGGATGTGGAGAAAAGGGAACCCTTGTACACTGTTGGTGGAAATGTATATTTGTACAGCTATTTTGGGAGATAGTTTGATGGTTCCTCAATAAGCTAAAACTGGAATTACGATATGATCCAGCAATCCCACTTCTGGGTATATATTCAAAGGAATTGAAATTCATATATGAAGGAGATATCTGCATTCTCATGTGGATTTCAGCATTACTCAGAATAGCCAAGATACAGATGCAACCAAAGCACCTGCCATCAATGGCTGGATGGATAAAGAAAATGTGAGATACATATATATGTGTGTGTGTGTGTGTGTGTGTGTGTGTGTAGCTATATGTATACAGATACATATATACACACATATATATATATGCACAATGGCATGTTACACAGCTGAAAAAAGGAAGGGAATTATGTTATTTGTGATAATATGGATGGAACTGGAGCACATTATGCTAAGTGAAATAAGCCAGGCACAGAAAGATTAATATTTTATAAATTCACTTACATGAGGAATCTAGAAGAGTCAATCTCATAGAAAGAGAAAGTAGATTACAGGGAATCGGGGAGAGATGGGGAAAGAGAAGATGTTGGTCAAAGGACAAAAAACTTCAGTTAGACTGGAAGAATAAGTTTTAGTGATCTATTGCACTGCAGGGTGACCACAGTTAATGATGATGTATTTTGTATTTCAAAATTGCTTAAATAGTATAATTTTAACATCTCATCACACATATAAAAATAAGTTGGGGAGGTGATGGATATGTTAATTGACTTGATTGTCTCTATAATGTATACACAGATCTAACAACACAATGTATCTTACAAATATACACAGTTATTATGTGTTAATTACAAATAAACATAAAAATAAAAGAATATACGTACTTTCCCTTACCTATTATGTCCTCCCTATCAGGCACAGCCCACATTTGTTTTCTTCCTGTAAACAGTTTTTGACTATGATAGGTTTCATTGATCTCAAATTTTCACTGATTTATAGAACTTACTATCTACCTACCTCTATATCACCCCATTGAGTTCTCAATTCTATAGTTTGTCATCTAGATAAATGTTCATGTATATGTATGTGGATGTGAGGCTGTGTGTATGTGCTTGTGTGTATATACACACACACACATATAGATGTGTGTATGTGTGTGTGTATTTTGTATATATTAGCCTTATAGCCCCACTCATGTTATCTCTTTAAGAAAAAGCATCACGTTTCTACATTATGAAACTGAAGTATAATTTTTTTTTTTTTTTTTGAGACGGAGTCTCGCTCTGTCGCCCAGGCTGGAGTGCAGTGGTGCGATCTCGAAGTATAATTTATATATAGTAAAAAAATCAGAAATTAAAGATACCATTCTCTCAGTGTTTGCAAAGTCTAAAAAAAGTTTAGCTCATATCAGTGCTCAATAATAATTGATCATTGATCTATTAATATTGATAAAGAAAAATGAGAAAAATTACACAAGGCACACAAAATGTATCTACCATGTAATGGAATCAGGAAAAACAGCTGTTATTTTCTCAATTTTGGTAAAGGGAAAACTTGAAGATACTGGTGACTTAATTTTCAAAATATTTTGTTCCATATTCCTGTTTGCTTCAAAAATAATAAAAAAAAATCCCTATCAGTATATCAACTCTCCACTTTCCATATATTCAAGTAGCCTGATGACAAATCCCGTAATTCTTAGAATTGAAACAAAGTCTAAAAAGGCCTTCATTGAGATGCTGAAGGCACTATGATCCTTGATAAACTGGCATGCACAAACACAAAAGGCATGAAAGTCATTCAAATGGAACAGACATAAAGGTTACAGTAGGCATTTTTCTCCTCATTCTTGATATGAAACTTGCCACTTTTTCTTCATTGTCATTTTGATTGAGAGAATGCCTTCTTAGTTGTTTGGTTGACTCTTGACCTATTTTTAACTTCACAGTGTAATCTAGATTTATGTTACTTGGGAGTGGTGGCTAGAGTTGAAGTCTGAGGTAATGATAACATCTCAAGATGAAGATTTTTCTACATCAAGTTATTGTAGCCTTTAAGTGGTCACCTGCCAGAAGCCAGAGGGAGATTCAGCACACCTGAGGATTCTTTCCAATACTTGATAATTTAATGTTTTTTTTAAACAAAATATTTTGCATGGAAAATAAAAAAAGCATCACATTTAAAATTGGAAAGCTGCATTCTGTTCTTGAAATAGACACAAACTGATTGTAGAATTTGGAACAAGTCATTTAATCTGGAGAGTCCTTAGAAAACTCACATGCAGAAGAAGAGGGAATGAGGTTGATGATGGCTTTGTGTTTTTGGCCATATATTTATGATTTAGATTAGTCTTTTTACCTAGGGTACACAAACCACTTGTAGAGATCATATTTTTAGATGGGAATGATATAACCCTCCGAAATTTAAATAAAACTTTTCCTACTTAGGCAAGCTTATTTTACTTTAGTTGTATTAAAAGAATATAATAAAAATATGATTCTATGAACAAGAGAAAGAATAAAGGAGCTGAGACTATAAAACTTATTATGAGGCAATAAATGTGTTTTTCCCCCTCAAATATGGGAATTCCTCTCGTTTAGAAAGCTCACAGATGTTTTAAAACGAGAAAAAATGGAAGAGCACTTTTGTTCTCCTTTAGGAGAATTTTTCAGGTCATAGCCTTATTAGGGTAATTTGGAGATGTTAAAGTTGGCATTAAACGTAGACAATGCTGAGTTGAATCCATCCCATGTATTTATCCCACCAATGTCAGTTTGCTTCTAAAATGTCCAATTATCAAGTATTTTCCCTTATCAAGTACTTTCTGTCTTAATTTAGTAATGAAGTTCCTGAAAGCCCCAAATTCAAAATGATCCTTTTCATACTTACTCATTTTCTAAAGGAATTAGCAAATTGACCTTGAAGTAGGTTTTTTTAAAGGATGCCTCTCAATCATACTTTATCTTTTGCTTTTCCAAAGGCCTAGCAACTGACTTTTGAGGGAGCAGCTGGTGGGGGCAGAGTGGGGGTGCGGAAAGGGAGAGGAAAAAGTAGAGTGAAAGAATGCAAAGGTGTGTATAGACTGAATGTAGAGTTGAAGGAGAGGATGTGTTTAAGAACAAAATGTGCATGAACCGGTGTGTGTGAGAGGTATGGTGAAGTGGTATTGATCACAGATGGAGCCTTTAATCTCATCTCCCACTCCTCTCAAAACCAGAAACCCATTCCTAGCAGCTCAAAAACACAGTGAAGCTACCCCCAAAATACTCATGCCAACATTTCCTAATGTACAATCTACTGTCACTTTTTGCCTTTCGACAACTTTCTTTGCCTTGGAGTTTTCTGACCTTTAGGATTGATCACCACACTTTATGGCTTTTGTGTTTTCTGGAATCAGAAAAATTGTTACATGTCATTACTCCACATCTTATTAGGGCTGCTGATATTTCAGAAAATCCCAATTGTCCTTTAGATCAACAATACAACACATGGTTCTGATTGTATTGTGGCAAATCTTCCGTTCTCTGTGTAAATAAAATGTATGAATATAACAGGCAAGAAATAAAAAATGTAAGGCCATCTGTCAGATATTAGAAATCCTACATAATATAAGATGGTTCTGCTTAAGAAATTAATGGTTAGGTTTTCACATTATAAACAAGCATTGCTTTTTTATGAGCACAAATTGTTTCAAACAGTAACTCATGAAGAAAGGAAACAAAAATAATATATGATACAGTAACACTTTTTCATCTTTTAATAATTAATAATGTTAAGGTATAATACATCCTGGAGGCTTTGAAAGTATTTTCAGTATATTTAAGTGATTATTAAGACAAAAGTAGAATTATTGGAATTTTTGTTTTCCTCGTTGTATAATTAAGCCTATCAATTACTCTCAACTGTGAAAAAAATTGTATGTGGATGTAAATTTGAAAACTGAATGGAAAATGTGTGTGATTTCTTAAATGATATGTAGGTCAGATACCTTGCATTTTACATTGGTCTTCTCCCATGTCTGATGTGACTGCCTTTCAGATATCAGTAACATCTGCTGCTTCTAGCCACAGAGTGGCTCATGACAGCTGCGTGACGCTGCCCTAGAATTCATGCCAAACCAGTCCCCTTTGAATATCAGTAGACCACCTGGGTACCCAGCTGCAATATATGGCATCTCTTGCTCTTTCACAGATGCCAGCAATACATAAAAAGAACTTGAGTGGAAAAGAAAACCTGGTAGCTCAGAAAAAGTTTTCCTTCAGTCTCTCCATCTGTAAATGTCCACCTCTCCTAATTGGAGTTACAGAATTTCAGTTTCAATTAAATTTCCTGTGTAATTTGTAAAGTGGTCATGTGTGTCCCAAATGTAGAGAATTGTGATAAATTTGAGGAAATAGGACAACCTGTCTCCTCTTGAGAATTTTTTTCTAAGATCCTGGCTGGCATATATTCAGCAAATATATATTAGCCAATTACTTTGTGTGTTGTCAAGCACAATGCTGGGCTCTGGGGCATAGAAAAAGAATAATAATAATACATAGCTCTCTAGTAGCTTACAGGCCAGTCTAGTTGTGAATGTCAAAACTGGGCATATTAAAGTTAAAGTCTAGTCATCAGTTTGCATTTGACAGTGAAATAAATAAATAAACAGTCTCTCATGCTTACAAGAAGGGGACTTGAGAGTTTCTCACCCCCACCATCGTGATAGACAGGATGCCTTTCTCCTGGCTTTTAATCAGCTAGAGTCATTTTGTTTCTAGTCAAGAACCTAAGACATTATTTTTTAAAGCTGTAAGTTTTGCTTCAAATAAGTACTTTCCCTAGGGGGCATATCTAAAATTCTAATGCTGTCAATGGAAAATATGAGTACCTCTCAAAACTCATCTTACAGGCACTTTTTTTTTTGCTATATAGAGTTTGGCAAGAACCAATGTGAAACACCTAAAAATATCCATGTTAATGTCACCTCAAGTACTTATTCAAGAAACCCACAAACATCCTAAGAAGGAAATTAATACTCTACTTTTGACAGTTTTTTATTAAAAAAATTAATTGGTAATAGTCAATGAAGGTTACATTACACTTTAGAAGAGTAAAGAAATAACCATGAAATAGCAACATTTGGCATATTGCTTTGCTAACTTGTCAGTCACAAACAAGGAGAGGGGAGTGCAAAGTTTATTTCTTTAGATATGATGCTTAAAGTCCAGTAAAGATAATTTCCTTGGTACACTAGTACTTCAAAATGTTATTCTTGTGAAATTTAAAAGTTGCTCCATAGAGAACATCAAATGCTCATTCAAATGCTTGTTGAAGAAGCTGTGATTAATCCAAAATTTTCACCTGTTATCAAGCTCCATATAAATTCTATCTTCTCTGAAAATAATCTCTTGCCTCCACTTTCCTTGAGATCAAAAAGAGCTCACCTGATTTTCTACTCATTTCTACCTCGAAATGTCTCAAATATCCTTAGTTTCTTCTTTCCATTTTAGGAAAGAAAGTCAATCCTCTTCTCTGAAGTTCACCCTTGCCCTTGGTCTCCTGAACTCGTATTAAGGTTCCTGACTTGGAGTCAGGAGATGTGAGTTTGATGTTTAGCCCTGCCAATTTCTAGGCACATGACAATTTATCTGAGGCTCAGAACCTTCAACTATAGAATAAGATGATAATAAGAACTCATCTAGAGTGTTCTGGTAAGGACATAGTAAAATAATGAGTGTGAAACTGCACTGTAAACTAAGTGTCACACAGATATTCTTTATTGCTATACCATTTGTCCAATACCTGTAGGTATTTATCTCATCAATTATCCCTTTCTTTTTCTTTTTAGATATCACCGCATATTTAAAACTAGTTCCTTATTCATTTTTAGATATTTTACCTATCTAAAATATAATAGATGATATTTTATTTTAAATTTATGATAAAATGAAATGATAGAAAATACAAAATAATTACTTTGCTCATATTTAACCTTAAAGTTACTATGATTTTTCCTTCTTATTTGCGGGCAAATGTCTTAAAAAGATTTTTCCCCCACTACATGTTTTCACAATCCAATTATCTTATCATCTTATATTCCACTATCTTGAATCCATCATCTGAAACTGCTCATGAAACTTTTTATGAGCTTACATTATTCCTACTTCCTGACTTCTCTGTAGCATTTGACACTGTTGACAATCACCATAACTTTCTAAGTTTTTGTGACATTTTATTTGTTCTTCACTGACAGTTTTGACTTAGCAATCACTTTTTCTTCTTTCTCCCACCCCTAAAGTAGGTGCTACCTAAGGAAATGCCTTGCTCTTTTGCTGTCCCTATTTTCTTCCTTGGCAAATTAATCAATCCTCATACACCCATTTAATTCCTTATCCTTTGCCTCAACCCTGCAACACATTTCCAACTGCTCCTGGTACATCTTTAACTTTCCATAACTTTATAGAATCAAGAGCTTCCATTTTGTTCCCCAAATATGAAAAGAAATCTTGCAGTTCCTGAGGTCTTCTCTTGTAGGGTCAGAGAAATGATGAAGGAGCAGTAGTCTTCCATCAGGTCTAATTACTATCCAAATAGACCATTACAGGATTAGTGTGGGACACAGTACGCTTAAAGTTTTGTATAGATTTTTATCTTAATTTAGGAATTCCATAAGTTATGATGTTTTTCGCAAATGCAAATAGCTTTTATTGGCCAATTAATAATATGGAATATAAAGTTGGTTGACCAACTAAAATATAGGATTTTAAAAAGTAAATATAGAATTTGGTTGACCACTTAAAATAGAGAAAAAATATTTTGGTCAGGGATCACATATTACTAGGCTATGGAGTAAGCAAGTAAGTGGGAAAATGTTGCCAAAACTTTGATGATAGAGTAGGGCATGCAGAAATATATTATCACATGCAGGTGTATCATGGTGGCAGTACAGAAATGCTAATAATTCCATACCAAAAATGTTTATTTCAATTTTGGCATATTTGCAGTGTAACCACATGGTTAGTTTGACAATTATAAAACATCTTTAGAATTCCTAATGCATCAAATTTGGAATTTTGAAAATGTTGTAAATATTGTTTGGTTGAATATAATTTTTAAGGGTAGTACTGAAAATCAACAACTAGCTTTTCAATTATACTTAATTTCTCAGTAGTAATTACGTATTGGTACTTACCACTCAATTTTTTACAGTTGGATGAAATTCTCCCCTCAACATTATCTCACACACTCAGAGTCAGTCCTAGTATCTAGAATCTGTTATTGCAGAAATTGTTCGGTCTTATTTAAATAAATCTCATAATTGGTTTCCTTTTTTAACTACATTTCTGGTTGACTAGAACAACAGTAAAACGATTGGTAGTCATGTAATGAAGATAGACATCACTAAGTGTGACAATATAATCATAGCTTAAGATGTTGCACATTTATTGCAGTCGTTACCATAGAGATTTAAAGTTGGCTCTTTAATAAAAAATACATAGATTCAATTTTGAATGCATTAATTTTGACGAGCGAGGTTCAGTAGGTTTCCTAACTGAACATATACAAAAACAACAGATTTGGAATTTTGTCCTAGATGTCTTTAAGGGATCAGATATAGGTATATAAAAATAATAGGCTCAATTTGTTGAATTTTTAATAAATACTTTATTAATCCTGCCATTTAAATCTTAGTTTTATAAGATACACATGTAATGCTTTAGTAATACTTCATTCATGTAATCTTCCATAGGGAAAACAAAAGGCAGGAAATCAGATGTTCTACTCTAAACTTAGATATGCCTCAAAGAACAAAGTAGGAGTGTATTAGTCTGTTCCCATGCTGCTAATAAAGACATGCCCAAGACTGGGTAATTTATAAAGGAAAGAGGTTTAATTGACTCACAGTTCAGCATGGCTGGGAAGGCCTTAGGAAATGTACACTCATGGTGGAAGGGGAAGCAAACACATCCTTCTTCACATGGTAGCAGCAAGAAGCACCCAGCAAAAGGGGGAAAAGCCCTTTGTAAAACCATCAGATCTTGTGAGAATCACTCACCATCATGAGAACAGCAGCACTCAACTAACCACCCCCATGATTAAATTGCCTCCCACCAGATCCCTCCAACATGAGGGGATTATGGGAACTACAATTCAAGATGAGATTTGGGTGAGGACACACATAAATCATATCATTCCGCCCCTTCCAAATCTCATGTCATCACATTTCAAAAGCAATCATGCATTCCCAATGAGGAGGCATCTTAACTCATTTTAGCATTAACTCAAAATCTTAACCTATTTCAGCATTAACTCAAAAGTCACAGTCTGACAGGGCCTGGTGGTTCATGCCTTTAATGCCAGCACTTTGGGAGGCAATGGTGGATGGATCACCTGAGGTCAGGAGTTCAAGACAAGCCTGGCCAATATGGTGAAGATGCAGATGTTGCATTTTCCGTTTCTACTCAAAATACAAAAATTAACCAGATGTGGTGGCCCACACCTGTAGTCCCAGCTACTTGGGAGGCTGAGGCATGAGAATTGCTTGAACCCAGGAAAAGGAGGTTGCAGTGAGCTGAGATTGTGCCACTGTACTCCAGCCTGTACAACAGAGTGAGACTCCATCAAAAAAAAAGAGAAAACAAAAGAGAAAAGAGAAAAGAAAAGAAAACAAAGAAAAGAAAAGAAAAGCATCCACAATCCACAGTCCACAGTCTCATCTAAGACAAGGCAAGTCCTTTCTGCCTATGAGCCTGTAAAATCAAAAGCAAGTTAGTTACCTCCTAGATACAATGGGGGTACAGGCACTGGGTAAATATACCCATTCCAAATGGGAGAAATTGGCCCAAACAAAGAAGCTACAGGCCCAATGCAAGCCCAAAATCCAACAGGGCAGTCATTAAACCTTAAGGTTACAGAGTGATCTTCTTCGACTCCATGTCTCACATCCAGGTCACACTGATACAAGAGATGGGCTCCCACGGCCTTGGGTAGCTCCATTCCTGTGGCTTTGCAGGGGATAGTCCCTCTCCTGTCAGCTTTCCTGGGTTGGGGCTGATTGTCTGTGGCTTTTCCAGGTACACAGTGCAAGCTGTTGGTGGAGCTACCATTCTGGGGTCTGGAGGACAGTGGCCCTCTTCTCACAGATCCACTAGACAATGTCCAGGGGGGACTCTGTGTGGGGGCTTGCACCCCACATTTCCATTCCACACTGCCCTAGCAAGAGGGTCTCCATGAGGGCTCCACTCCTGCAGCATACCTCTGCCTGGACATCTAGGCATTTCCACACATCCTCTGAAACCTAGGCAGAGGTCCCCCAACCTCAATTCTTGACTTCTGTGAACCCACAGGCCTAACAGCATGTGGAAGTTGCCAAGGCTTGGGGCTTGCACCCCCTAAAACAATGGCCTGAACTGTATACTGATGCCTTTTACCCATAGCTAGAGCATCTGGGATGCAGAGCACCAAGTCTCAAGGCTGCACACAAGCAAGGGAGGCCCTAGGCTCAACTCACTAAACTATTTTTCCTTCCTAGGCCTCCAGGCCTGTGATGGGAAGGGCTGCTGTGAAGGTCTCTGACATGCCCTGGAAACCTTTTCCCCATTGTCTTGGTGGTTAATATTTGGCTCCTTGTTACTTATGCAAATTTCTGCAACAGGCTTGAATTTCTCCACAGAAAATGGGTTTTTCTTTTCTATTGCATCAACAGGCTGCAAATTTTCCAAACTTTTAGGCTCTGCTTCTTCTTAAATGGTCTGCGGCTTAGAAATTTCTTCTGCCAGATACCCTAAATTATCTCTCTCAAGTTCAAAGTTCCACAGATCTTTAGGGCAGGCAAAAAATGCTGCCACTCTCTTTGCATAGCAAGAGTGACCTTTACTCCAGTTCACAACAGGTTCCCCATCTCTGAGACCACCTCAGCCTGGACTTTGTTGTCCGTATCACTATCAGCATTTTGTTCAAAGCCATTAAACAAGTCTCTAGGAACTTCCAAACTTTCCCACATCTTCCTGTCTTCTGATCCCTCCAAACTCTTCTAACCTCTGCCTGTTACCCAGTTCCAAAGTCACTTCTACATTTTTGGGTATCTTTTTGGTACCCCCAGTACCAATTTACTGTATTAGTCCATTCTCATGCTGCTAATAAAGACATACCCAAGACTGGGTAATTTATAAAGAAAGAGGTTTAGTTGACTCACTGTTCAGCATGGCTTGTAAGGCTTCAGGAAACTTATAATCACGGTGGAAGGGGAAGCAAACATGACCTTCTTCACATGGCAGCAGCAAGGAGAAATGCCAAGCAAGAAGTGCCAAGAGCAGCATGGGGGTAACCACCCCCATGATTAAACTACTTCCCACTGGATCCCTTCCATGACACGTGGGGACTACAGGAACTACAATTCAAGATGAGATTTGGGTGGGGACACAGCCAAACTATATCAAGGATCACAGCAGCAGAGAACTTTGTAAACTGAGAGTACACAGATTTCCAGGCCATGCTTTTCTGCTTCTTTTCACAAGACTACATATACCCTTAAATTTTTTATTTCTAAATTCTTCCATGAATGTCTTAGACCACAGCAATCGTTCCCTCCTTTGAACTTAATGCACTATATATCTGCATCTTCAAATGATACCTAGAACTTCGTACATTATCAGGTGCTATTTGCTATCTTACATACCCACACAGTGAAAGAAATCAAGAACCACACCTTGCGTATATGCCATCCACAGGGTCTATTGCAGGTTTAGGTATGTGAATATTTATACTGATTGATAGGTAAAATGAGGGTTGATTTATAGTTGGCTGATACTTAGAGGTGATCTGAAGTATAATGCAAATGTTACAAAATGCATTCAAGATAAGAAACAAAATAATGAGAAAAAACCTTCTTATATATTTAATCTATACTAGATCCATTATAACAATACTTGTAAAATGATTTTATTATTATTTATTTTATTATGTATTATTCAAATGTAAGCCTTCATCAAAATATAATCTCTTAGAAAACATCTCTTGTACATCTTTTGTAACTGTACTCGGTGTACATGCAACACTGAAAGACTGGGATACAGTTTGAGGAATGCACCATTAGGTGATTTCATTATCATGTGAACATTACAGAATGTTCTTATACAAACCTAGATGGTACAGCTTACAAACTTGAAAAGCATGTGTCTGTAATGAATGCTGTGGGCAACTGTAACACAATGGTAAGTATTTGTGTATCTAAAAATATCTACATATAGAAAAGATATAGTAAAAATACAGTAGTATCCTATGGGACCACCATTGTATATGTGTCGTTGTTGACCAAAACACAATTATGTAGTGTGTGATTGTATGTGGCAAATAGGTACACATTAATTGTATGCTGAACAAATCAGTCAACCAAAACATTATTCTGAGAGGATGACCTCTCTCCTAACCCTCCCAATTCTTCAGGCTATTTGTGATCCTATAGACTTGGAACAGGAGAACTGAGCTCACTTCATAGCTGCATAAGGCCTTTTGCATTTATCATTTTTTTTCTATGCTGAATGTTCCCCCCTGCAAATCCTTGCATAGATAGATGCTTCCTGTCATCTGGTATCAGCCCAAATGTCCCCTGGGAGGGTTTCTCTGACCACTCTAGGTAATGTAGTTCTCTACCCTTCATCCTCCACCTCTGTCATTCACAACATTTTACCTTATTTTATTTTCTTCTAGGCACTTGACTTTATCTGAAATTAACAGAATAATATTTCTGCTTACTCATTTATCGTCTATGGTCTCCCTCTAGCATAAGTTCTAGGAAACCGAGACCAGGGACTGAGTATGCCCAAGAACTGACAAACATTTTAAAATTAACCAGTAAATTTCCTGACTTAAACTTATTTGCACATTTCATTTGAATTTAATGGCAGTTGTAGCTCATTAATCAAACCCAATCTGTATAAATGCTTTTTAAAATTTTAAAGCTATTTTTTTACAAGTTATTTACTTTAACTTTCCCTTTCCACGTAAGAAAAATGAAACCCTAATTTGTAAAATAAATAGCTAAAAGTCAATTCACGGCAGCATATATTTAGATTTAAAAGAAAGTTAAACATTTCTTTATTAGAATATTTCAGGGACATTTCAAATGTAAATCAGCAGGATAATTGACTTAATTTTCAGCATCATTTTGTTTGATTAAGCACACTTAATGGGAGGCTCTAGTGAAATTTGGCCTTAAGGGGATATGAAACTTGTCTGTTCAATAATTCTGAGCACATTAACATTCTTCATATAGCTGTTTTTATTGCCATAAATTCAAACCGCTGAATTTAAGTCCTTTATGTTTGGGATCAGAAAGATTATAAAGACTTTTAAGGGTAACATGCACGTGGAATATCTGTTCATATGAGCAGAGAAGGGTCAGAAAGCCACAGCAATGAAGTATGTTTCTCAAAGTTGACATTTTAGACATTGGTCTCTAATAAGAGTGTTGGTTACTTAATGTACTGAAATTCACTAAAAAGCCAGGTATTCCTGGCTTATTGCTATATACAGGGACATTCTGCTTAGTATGTTTAAAATATCCTTGTATCTGTTAAAGAATAATATTTTCAAAAGTGTTTTTATCATGGTTCAGAAGTTAATTGTTTATTTTTCTTGTGTGTACCTTTATTTCCATCTAATGGTATCATTCAAGAAGACAGAAAAACTTTCTCAATTAGATTGATTTTCCAACAAAACATTTCCAATGTGTATTTCTGGATAAGCCCTATAAAATATCATTCACTTCTTTATTTATTAATGGAAATGAAAATGTATACTTTATACATTACTATTTTTGTATAATTTTCATTCGATTTCTTTTTCTTTTTATGCATTTAATTCCTGTCCATCTTTCAGGGTTCCATAATTTTATAATTTCCTTTACTATCCTAGTTCCAACTCATTCAGGATGTCTTGCGAGTACCATTCAGCATTTATTTTTATAGAGACATCTAATACTGTAAAATTTTTATCCATACATCATTGTTACAATATAGCTTCTACAGTAACTACCACTAGAGACTTACATTTTGGGCCCTCATAAATATTTAGTTTTTATGCTAACATAGACTCACATACACATAAATTAGATAGATATATATATAGATGAATAAAATAAACAGATAGTATTCATGATTGGTTAGATAGTAGACGAGTATTTTTGTTGGTTTACCAATACAGTATATGCTTACAATTCTCCAGAGAAACACTCATATGATGAGATTTTGTGAGGTCATGAAAGAGAAGAAATGAATGTTATTAATGCAAGAGGGCTAGGTTTATGACACATATTCTAATTCCACAGATGTGGTATTCTGTTCCTCAAATGCCTTTCTTATTCCTGACATAGCTAACTTCTGTCAGTTCTTTAACACTCAGTTCAAACCTCACCTATCTTCTCATAACTCTAGGATTTGTTTTACCATCTTCTAAATCCTCATGAAATTGCCTAACAAAGCTCATATTTAACTTCTCCAAAATTTTTAGTTTGTTTAGTTCCAAGACAGCTGTTACAAGCTAGCATAGATATTTCATTGCAGCCAGTAATGGCCAATTATTCTATGCGTTGCACAGATAACAAATAGCATAACCAAAAATATCTAGACAATTTGTATCTTTATTACATTTTAATCTCTTTACCAAGTTGTATCCAAGCAAATCCATTCTCTAATAACATTATTCACAAGCAACCCTGTGAACCAAACCTGTGAAGAAATGTGATGGGTCTGAGTAGGAGAAAAAGTTTATATCATAGTTTTCATGACCAGCCACTAATGTTAGTATCTACATCCCTGCATCTTGTGTATGTGAGTTCTATTTTTATTAAGAGAAAAGAATGCTAACATAATTCAAATGTGAATTGACCAACATTTAAGCTTGACTGAATTTAGATACGTTTTATTTACAGAAAAACCCCAAATGATACTCTATCTTCAAGATATATTCCTTTA
Organism: Homo sapiens; assembly: GCF_000001405.40. Classification (NCBI taxonomy): domain Eukaryota; kingdom Metazoa; phylum Chordata; class Mammalia; order Primates; family Hominidae; genus Homo; species Homo sapiens. Next base: position 154,270,889 of record NC_000002.12, on the reverse strand, counting down.
TGAGATCAAATCACTGGAAAGCAATAAAATTGATAATTTTCTCTTAGTGCACCCAAGAAACCCACTATCCATTTAAAGGCATTAGTGGATGTTTGCTAAAACATGGTCTAACATATCAACTGCTTTGTGTCTACTGGGCAATGCCTTTCAGAATCTAGTTCCTTTCATCTGAAGAAAAAAAAAGGTTCAGTGCAATTTTATTTACTAATTTATTTTCACTTTAGCTGTCAGGAATATTTGAATAAAGTTATTGATTATTCAATGTGACTAGTTTATCCCATTTTCTTGTTACTTTATTTCTCTTGCCCTTCATTTTCATCTTTCCTCTCGGTTGCTTTGTTTTGAATCATTTCAATTGTGAATTTTCATGTTAGTAATCTCTTAGGATGATTTTAGAAATAATAGAAAAGGTATAAATAAGTGGTTATGCTTTAAAAACGAATTATGGGTGGTACCGACCACCTCAAAATTATTTTCAATTAGTTTAAGAAATAATTAAATGAATATAAAAGAGAACCAGAGATTAATACCAAGTTTTAGTGCATCTAAACAACTTTAAGTGCTTTATGTTTCTAAAACTATAAGCATGTCTCCAAATTGAATGTTTACAAGGTAAAGCATCATATCAAAGGCTAATATAAAGCTCTTCTCATATTCCAGTTTTCTGAACCAAAAATATTAATAGAGGAATGTAGTTATTGAAATTACGATGCCTTAAGCTATTATAATTTTAAGAGCAATACAAGTTTTGTTAATGTTTGCTAATGTTCTTCTAAAGCTTGATTAATGTCTAATTTACCTGTTGTTCACTTATTTTTTTCTAAAGGAGCATACAAAGCCAGTTATTTATAGCAGTTAATATTCAAAATAAAATTCTAACACATTTGTTTTGGATAAACAGAATTCTATTAGGAACCATAATGAAATATTATTCTGTGACACCTACTCACCCTGTGCTTTAGAAATATATATATATATATATACACATATATATAAATATATATATGACAATCTTTAGTAGCACTGTCTCATTGCCTCTTATCTAGAAATATTTTTTATTCTGTGGTTTAAATTTAAAAAGCCCTTCTTTGAATGAAAATATATGTTTAAACAATGGTTCAAAGCAAAGTGGTGGCCGAGATGACAGAAAAACTAGTTGCAGGCACAGAAGCTAAAACTTCAAGCTATTCTTCAATATGTTTAAGGTTCAGCCTGCACCAAATGGGGAACAAGAGAAACATTTGCTGAACCAAATCATTAAGATTGGTCTGCATTCTTTGTGGAGACTACACACACATGATGTCAGTTTATGATTTCATAGGATTTTTTAAAAAGGCTAATAATCTCTATATTATCATTAAGAGAGTGATTTATCATATTTAAAGAAAAGTATCCTGCAAAACCATCTCCATATTTCTATTATAGTTTGGTTTCTATGACTGATCCAAAAAAAAAAACCAGTCAAGTTTTACACACTGACAAATAACCTACTTTCATCAGATTTGTATGAATTAAGTTTACAAAAAGGCAAAGAACTCTAAGAGAAATAAATCAGCTGGATTTTTGTCTAAAATGATTTCTAATAAATTATTACGGCTGATGTTTTCACTTGTCAAAATTTGAATTGTGTAGACATTGCTTAGAAAATTCTTTACTTTCTTTAAGTATTTTTAAAAAGTCTGGATACTATAAGCCCCTAAAGGTTGACAAATTTCATTGTCTCATTTACCATACTATTCTGTTCAATGGGAACCCCTGCTTTTCATTTTTCCACTATTTATTATGTCAGCTCTCATTTCTTTTCCACTTCATTGCTTGTACAAATTGGAAATACATGGATTTCACATGAGAAGACATTTCACTTAGCTATATTCTTCAGGTAAATACACTATTGTTTTCACTGTGATTTGCAAGCAAAAGAAAATTGGGGTACTTGAAGTAAATTCGATCTTGTTAATTAAAATATTAGTTACTGACAAAAGAGCTTATTTTAAGGGTAATTATAATAAAAAGTAATATTGCCATACAGTTTATTTATAAACAGCTTTAATGAGTATTACTTCATTTAATGAATACAGTTGTCCTGGGAGGTAGACTGTTATAATCAGATCAACAGGGATATTTAAAAGTAACTGGACTATGATATATTGAGAATCTAACCTAAAGTATAGAGGTTTACTGTTAAGTAGATACTTTGAACTACATTTTTCCTTCATTTGTTTCTCTTTGGAGTATGCCTCTCTCTCTCTCTCTGTCTCTCTCTCTGTGTGTGTGTGTTTTAATTCTTAACAGCTTTATTAAAGTATAACTAACATATAATGAACTGCATATATTTAAATTGTACCACTCAATAAGAAGTTTTGTCATAGGTGAAACTTGTGAGGCTGTCACCACAATCAAGATAATGAATACATACATTACCACTAAAAGTTTTCATGCTCCCCTTGGTAATCCCTCCCTGCAATCCTCCCTCTGCCACCTCAATCTCATGTCCCCAGACAAGTTATCTGATTTCATAGATTAGTTTGCATTTACTAAAATTTTATACAAATGAAGTCATATAGTATGTAATCTTTTTGCCTGGCTTGTTTCATTCAGCATAATTATTACAAAATTCACCAAAGTTGTAGGGTGCATTAATAGTTTGCACACATTCTTTGTATGGACAAAGCATAGTTTATTCATTGACCTGCTGATGGACATTTGGATTGTTTCTGGCTTTCGGTATTACAAATAAAGCTGCTATGAATATTGGCATACAACTCTTTGTATGAATATACATTTTCCTTTCCACTGAGTAAATACTCAAGAGTGTTTAAAAAGTACTAAAACTGTTTTTTGGAGTTTAGTGTACCATTGTACATCGCCACCAGCATTGCAGGTGCAGTTCTTCCATATTATCACCAACATGGTCAGCCTTCTTAACCTTTCTTTTTCTAATAAATGCATAGTGTAATCTCATTGTGGTTTAAATTTCATTTCCCCACTAACTGCTGAGGATTTACTCAATTGCTTATTTGCCATTTGTAGACCTTTCTTAGTGAAGTGTCTATTCAAGTTATTTTGCTCATTTTTTATTGAGTTGAATGTTTTCTTATTACTGAGTTTTGAGAGTTTTTTTTTCTAGATACAAATCCATTATCAGATATATAATTTGCTAACTTCTTTTTTTCTGTCAGTGCCTTCACTTCTCTTTCTCTTAATAGTGGCTTTGAAAAGCACAAGTTTTTTTGTTTGTTTGTTTGTTTTTGAGACGAAGTCTCACTTTGTTGCTCAGGCTGGAGTGCAGTGGCACTATCTCGGCTCACTGCAAGCTCCGCCTCCCAGGTTGAAGTGATTCTCCTGCCTCAGCCTCCCAAGTAGGTGGGATTACAGGCGCCCACGACCACGCCCAGCTAATTTTTGTATTTTTAGTAGAGATGGGGTTGCACCATGTTGGCCAGGCTACTCTCAAACTCCTGACCTTAAGTGATCTGCCCACCTTGGCCTCCCAAAGTGCTGGGATTACAGGCGTGAGCCACCATGCCCGGCCTGAAAAGCACAAGTTTTTAAATTTTAATGATATCTAATTTACCAATCCATTCTCTTATGACTCATACTTTTGGTGTCATATCTAAGGAATATTTGTCTAATCAATGGTTACACAAGTTCTTCTCCTATGTTTTCTTTTATAATTTTATATTTTTACATTTTGAATTAATATTTTCATGGTATAAGTTATGGATTGGAGTTGTTTTTCCCCCCCACATAGACATTCAGTTGTTCTAATAATATTTTTGAAACTACTATTCTTTCTCTACTAAACAGCCTTTGCATATTTGTTAGAAATCAGTTGTCCACGTATGTGTTAAGTTTATTTCCAGATTTTCAGTTCTGTTCCTTTGTCTGTCTTTATGTTAATAACACACAGTCTTGATTATTATAGCTTTATAATACATTTTAAATCCTACTTTGTTAATTCTCTAACTTTTTTCTTTATTAATGCATTTTTAGCTATTATACATCCCTTGTATATCTATATGGATAGAATCAACTTGTCAATTTCTACCTAACAAAATAAGTTTTATTTACTATTGCTTATCAATATAGATTCAATGCAATAGTTAAGTAAATACAATACACTTAACTATTGCATTGAATCTATATTGATATGCAATAGTAAGTAAATACAATACACTTGCTATTGCAGTGAATCTATATTGATCTGAGGGAGAATTGTCATCTTAATATCATATTGAGTCTACTAACTATTAATAAATAATAGTATTTATCTTCATTCATTTAGGTCTTTAATTTCAGTAATATACAGCAGTTTTTAGCATAGAGGTCTTGCACATCTTTTGTCAGATTTATCACTTTTTCATATTTTTTACATTATTTTAGATAATGTTTAATATCAGTTTTCTGCTGTTTGTTGCTAGTGTATAGAAATAAAGTTGACTTTTATACATTGTTCTTATATTCTACAACCTTGATAAGAAGACTGTCTTATTTGTTTCAGCAATACTTTTGTAGATTCCATTGGATTTTGTAGATAATCTTGTCTTCTGGAATTATAGTCTTAATTTTTCCTCCCTAATATGGATGGCTTAATTTATTCTTCCGACCTTGTTGCTGTGCCTAAAACTTCCAGTATAATGTTAAGTAGATGTAGTAAGATCCAAAATCTTTATTTATTCCTGATCTTAGAAGGAAAGCATTCAATGTTTTAACATTAAATATGTGTAGGTTTTTTTGCTCAAACCCTTTATCAGGTTGATGAGTTTTCTATAAATAGTTTGCTCAGGGCTTTTGTTTGTTTGTTTTTGGTTTTCTTTTTAAATTCAGGAGTAGACTGAGTTTGTTATATACTTTTCTTGACTCTATTCAGATGACCAATCAATTTTTTTTAGTTTCTTGATACGGTGAATTACCTTGATGGATTTTTGAATGCTAAACCAACCTTGCATTTCTGCAATGAACACTACTTAATCAGATATATTATTTATTTGACATACGGAGAAACTTGATTTGCTAATTTTATTTAGAATTTCTGCATCAATGTTTACCAGGAATATTAATTTTTAGTTTTCTATTTTTGTAATGACTTTGTCAAGTTTTGGTATCTGTGTAATGCTGATCTCACAGAATGAATTGGGAGGTACTACCTCCTTTCAATTTTGTGGAAGCATTTGTTTGTTTGTTTGTTTTGAGACAGAGTTTTGCTCTTCTTGCCCAGGCTGGAGTGCAATGGTGCAGTCTTGGCTCACTGCAACCTCTCCCTCTTGGGTTCAAGCGATTCTCCTGTTTCAGCCTCCCAAGTAGCTGGGATTACAGGTGCCCGCCACCACACCCGGTTAATTTTTGTATTTTTAGTAGAGACAGGGTTTCATCATGTTGGCTAGGCTGTTCTCCAACTCCTGACCTCAGGTGATCTGCCCTCCTCGGCCTCACAAAGTGTTGGGATTACAGGCATGAGCCACTGAGCCTGGCCCGAACTCTTCTGATTTCTACCCAAAACATTTGGTAGAGTTCACCAGTTAGGTTATCTGGCCATTGAGTTTCCTTTGTAAAAATTATTTTTAAAGTATTAAAAATTATAAATTTTTAGAATAAATTTCATTTATTTACTAGATACAGGGCTGTTTGGTCTATTTTTTCTTTCTGTGAGCTTTGATAATTTGTATCTTTTAATGAAGTTGTCCATTTTATCTAAGTTGTCAAGTTTATTGGCATAATGAGAATGATAATGTTCCATTCCAATCCTTTTAGCCATCTGTAGAATACATGGTGGTCATGCCACCTTTCTGATTTCCAAAATTGATAATTTGTGTCATCTCTCTATTTTTCCCATATTTGGCTAAAATATCATCTATTTTATTGATCTCAAGGAAACAAATTTTGGTTTCATTGCTTTTCCATATATATATATTTTTTTTTATCATATAGGTATCATATATGTGGAATATTATATATATTCCTTTTATATTTCATTTATTTCTGCTGTTATCTTTATTATTTCCTTTTTCTTAGATACTTTGGCATAAAAACTCTTCTTTTTCTAGTTTCTGAAGGTGGAAGCTAAGGTCATTGATTTTACCTCTTTTTTTTTTTTTTCTTTTCTGATATAGACATTTAGTGCTATAAATAATTCCTAAGTTTGCTTTAGTGTCACTACACATTTTGATGTGCTATGTTTTCATTTTCATTACATTCCAAATAGTGGTAATTTTACTTGTTCTTTAATCTGTGGGTTTTGTTTGTTTGTTTGTTTTTGACAGAGTCTCGCTCTGTTGTCCAGACGGGAGTGCAGTGTCATGATCTCGGCTCACTGCAACCTCTGCCTCCTGGGTTCAAGCGATTCTTCTACCTCAGCCTCTCGAGTTGCTGGGATTACAGGAGTCCACCACCATGCCCAGCTAATTTTTTTTTTTTTTTTTTTTTGTATTTTTAGTAAGGACAGAGTTTCACCATGTTGGCTAGGCTGGTCTTGAACTCCTAACCTCAGGTGATCTGCCTGCTCGATCTCTCAAAGTGCTGGGATTACAGGCATGAGCCACCACATCCAGACTATCCATGGGTTTTTAAGAAGTATGTTATGTAGTTTCTCAATATTTCCTCTACCCCTTACCTCATGAATCAATCTGTCTGGAGGATACAGGTACTATTGACTTTCCTGAGTCATCACTGGGCAATGAGACCTCTAACCTTTTCTGAAGGTTCTTTCCTCAGACTTGGATTGTTTCCTCACACACTTGTGAAGACACAGCTGAATACTCCCACAGAAACCTCTGTATATCTCTTCAATGCTCTGCCCAGGACTCCATTACTCTGTTCACCAAATTCCAGCGGGCTTGGTCTCCCCAAACACTCAGCTTCATCTCCTCAAGTCATGGAGTCTGTCAGTATCTAGCCCTTTTATCACTAAGGCCTAGAAACTTTCACAAGGCAGTAAGCCGAGGCAATTGTAAGGCTTTCCTTGTTTGTTTCCCATCTCTCAGGGTGACTGCTGTTCAATGTCTTGAAAGTGTTATTTCATGTATTTTTGTCCATTTTTTAATTTATTCAGGTGAATGACGAGGAGAATGGTAAATCTAGTACTTGTTACTCCAAGTCTAGATGATACATACTTTTAAAAATTAACAACTGTTTCATTCCAACTGATTTATGAGTGTAGAAAAATGTTTTCCACCCTAGATTCTTAGATGTCAGTAATTAACTCCAATGATGTTGTGGAAGTATAAAAAGTATTTTTTTGTGTGTGGTTTTTCTTTTCCTTTTTAAAATTTAATATATTTTTTGAGCAGGGGAGCCTTAGAACTACATCTCAACTAACACTTAGTATAATTATACTTTAATGTATATTGCATTTCTGGGTTTAAATGACTTTTTCTCTACATTCTCTCTTGTGATTAACCATGATCAAAGCCAAATTATTAAAGGTAAGATTGTTTTTAGGTGATTCTCAGGAATGTTATGACTTGCCCAGAGTTGCACAGCTTATAACAATCACCACAACAGCTGCCATGAATGACACACTATGTGCTGAGTGGAGTACTCAGCACAATATACATAATATCATTTAATCTTTCTCTAAAAATGAGGAAAGTACTGTTATCTTTCTGTTTTAGAGATGGACACACTAAAGCTTAGAATATGTGCTATCTTACCTAAGCTTACACAGATGGTAAGTGCCAGAGCTGGGTGTTGAATGCAGGCTATCTGAATCCCAGTCCATACTTGTAACCATTCATGGCTGTGAGACAGATTTCTGTGTCCTTTGCTGTCATCAAGCTCCTTTATTTATTTTTTCCCATGCTCTGAGTTGATTGGATAGTGGCAGTTTTCTTCATTTTAGAATGGGCAAAATGATCTGTACTCTTGGGAATGCTGCTCCCCATGATATTGCTTATAAAAGACAAGGACTTTTGGTGGTGATGCTTGTTGGTTGATACTTATCCTGAAACACGGTTATTATTTAAAGATAGAGGATACTTTTTGATGGTAATTCATAATTTTCTTGGTTCATTTTATCACTATTTTATTTGGGTATCAATTTCTCAGTTCTTGTCTAAAATTTCAACCCCTATGTATCCTCCAAAATCCAACACTTCATAGAATCTTTCCTTCCTTATATTTTTTCTTTAACACCTATAACTGATATTTTAATAAATTTTATTTATTTTGTTTATTGTCTGTCTCTTTCTCCAAAATCTAAGTTCCATAAGAGCACAAAGTTTTGTCTGTTCTGTTCATTACTGTATCCCCAGCAGATACATAACACTGTCTAAACATAATTAATTAATGCTTATGTTTAGACAGTGCTGTTAGGATTTATGTTATTGCAGTGATTGTTGTGTAATGCAGTAGGGAGAAATATTTGAAACAGCTTTCAGAAGCATTAAGACCTAACTGCTGTTCTCTGGTAGATATACCTGATATTCTCACTGCTATTGAATGTGTATTATCTTCCATTAGAGGCTATAGCCTATAAGAGGAAGATAAGATTATAGACGAGAGAAGCATCTCAGAATTGTGGAGGAAGCTTGTATTTGCATGTTAGCGTCTTTCTTTCTCCTAATAATACCATCAACTGTTAGGTTCGTTATGTTATGGAGAGATGAACCTTAATGAGGAGGTAACAGTATGGTATTTAACAGCACAGTCCCTGGTGTCAGAATGCTGCGGGTCAACTCTTAGCTATTCCACTTACTAGCTACTATAAATACTAATAGTCACTATTATTATATGCCAAGGATCTTTCTCCTAAGGTTTCAAGAGATTTTTAAACACTTTGAAACCGTATTTAAATCTGTTGTCTTTAAAAGGTTGGAAACATCTTCCTTAGGAAGTCTACAGCTTTCATAAAATTTTCAAATGTCTTTAAGTACAGCGATCAAGTGATATGTTACAAATAAGTCTTTGCAATGTATTCCTTTGGTTTGGCTTAAAATACCTTGAGGTGAGTCAGAATCTTAACATTTTGCAAGCCCTAAATATTTCTATCTTCTTTACTTAGACTAGAACCTATGTAGACCACAGCTACAAAACCACAATAACTTCACTATTATTATAATCACCTTTTTACAGTTGAGTTTATGTTCACCTATACTCACATGACAGAGACAAAAAACCTCACACATAAATTTATAAAGGAAATTATCACATTTTCTTGACAATAACACCTACGCATCTCTGTCATAGGAATGCAGTTCTTTGAGAGCAAAGAAGCATCATGCTTTACTCATCTTTGTAAAGTCAGCACCTGGAAACATATCACTTGCTCAATGTATGTTTGTTGTGTAATGATTGAGCTGGATATTAGATTCAAACCCTCTGATTATAAATGCTCAACATATTCTCATTTCATCAAGTCATGAAATTAAAGAGAGATGAGTGGTCTCAATCTTTTGTCAATGCACTATTCTAGCATTTTTCCTTATCAATGTCTACCTCAGCTACAGTACAAACCATTAAGCAAACATATTCATGTCACAGAGAAGAAAGTAAAACATAAATTAAGAGTCTAATAAAAAGCAAAATACATATTTTGTTTCTATTAAAGTCATATGGAAACTAAAGATAATAATACATTTTAAAACACTTGATATTGTTTTAAAATAGTCACTGATAAGTATTTTATTTCCTAATAATCCCAATAACCAATCACAGAAAACCTCCTGTGTCATTTTTGAGGGATTTGATTATTCTTACAGCCCCTAGCTGCATTCCTTCTGTACCCTTGGTATCTGCATCATCTATCATATCCTCAAGTCTTCCTTTTTATACATTTATACCTCTGTTACATTTCCTGATCAGGTCCTCCTTGTTTATCATATTATTCCACTAAATTCTTTCTGAATTCTACTTTCAACCAGTTAGATAAAGAGCATCCCGCCAATCTGGGAGATATGTGATAAAAGTAAGAGGAGTACATTGGCAGAAAATCAAGCTTAACAGGTAGGGAGGAAAGAGGTGAATTCTAATTTTAGGAAGACAAGAGAAAAAGTAGCAAGAGGATCCTATATAGTAGCGGTATTTCTGTGTTGATTTTATTTCTTACGTAACCCAGCATAGCACCCGAAGAATATCAGTTAATGAATGAGTACATTCTCTCATTATTACTTCTAAGAATAGAAGCAAATTATTTCTAAACTTCTGAATATACTGATTTCTTTTCTTTTTCTGTTACCTCTTATTTCTTTCACCATAAGAACCATAACAGGTAATAATTTTGGGTTCTCAAATGTCCTCAAAATTCCTGCAAAGAGTTACTGTCCATGGACCTGAAGGCAAGAAGATATTCCTGAGTGTGGTGCTGAGTTTGGTTTGGCAAGTTTCATGAGAATATAAGCATATAGACAAATGCAAAAATAATAAAATTCCATTAACTAAGGTTTGTCTCAGACATCTGGCTATCAGGAAAGTTTACAGGCAAAATAGTAATATAACTAGGCCATCCTACTGATTTTAAAATAATTTATCCAAGATCCACTGAATTCTACAGTAGAGAAATTCAAGGTAACTCATTCTCAAATTTTAACATTTTCTTACACAACATCACACGTATTTATATTATGATAATGAAAAACAAACTTTACTTTTGAAATGAGAAATTAAAAGGCATAATTTTTAAACTTCATAGATAAATACATCTAAACTCTAATAATTTTATTGTACAAATATTTTGGGCGAAGATGGAATGTTTCATATATTTTACACTGAAGCTGGGTGTGGTGGCTCATGCCTGTAATCGCAACTCTTTGGGAGGCAGAGGGGGGTGGATTGCTTGAGCTCAGGAATTTGAGACCACCCTGGGCAACATGGCAAAACCCTGTCTCTACAAAAAATAGAAAAACAAATAGCTAGGAGTAGTGTTGCACACCTCTAGTCCCAGCCACAAGGGAGGCTGAGGTGGGAGGATCACCCGAGCCCTGGAGGTCTAGGCTGCAGTGAGCCCTGAAATTGCACCACTGTACCACTCCAGCCTGGGTGATGGAAATTCTGTCTCAAAAAACAACAACAACAATAACAAAAAACACTCACAAATAGTTTACACTGAATTTTAGGTAGAAAAAAAAGCAGTGATTTGAAAAACAAAACCACTATGTTAGTGCTTATCAATTTCTTAGCATGAAAGAAAACTTATGTGTTCATTTTTAAATTTTTTGAATATAACAAAATATTATTTAAATTATTATTAAACTTTCCTAATAACATATTCGTAAGGACTTATTCCTCAATTTTTATTTACATGGAAGGCCATTTATTAAATGAAGTTGCTTTATTCAAACTGACTTATCCAACAATAATGTTAGTGAAAATGGTCACACTACTTGCAGAATTATCCAAATTCATTTGACCACAGTTCATTCTTAAAGTTTTCTGAGAACAACCTGAGGCAGTAGTTGCAAATTCAGATTACATAAATACTTCCAAGTTTCAGTTCAAAAACACAAAGTGATTTTATAGAGCAACACGTTATTAAAAAATAAAACCCTTCTTTATTTCAGCAATTGAAAGTCCTAATGTATTTTTACTGTGAATAAAAACAATATTTTTGAAAACAAAAATTACCTATAATTTCCCATTTAGAAGAAAATATTGCATGCAATAGGACTCTGTCAAATCAAAATGTGAATTAAGATAACCAATTGATCAGTAATTTGCATCACTCAGCAAAAATGATTTGACAGTAAATTACTGGGACTGGTATGTGCATGCTACAGCATTGTATGTTCAGCATCAAAAAATAAAATAAAATGCAATTACCCTAAAAGACATTTCAAGATTCTCTCCACCCCAGATATCCATTCCTGCATCGTAAGTTCCTATCTCTTCAAAGTAGTTTCTGTCAATAGAAAATAGGCCACCAGCCATAGTAGGGGTCCTAGTTGAAAAAAAACAAAAAGAAAAGAATATCTTTTGAAAACAATGTATGGAGTTTAATGAGACTGTAGCACGTATTTTTGAGACATTCTAAATATTTAAAAAATCTCAAACTAAAAACACAAAGTCAAGGTGTAAGAAGTTTTAAAATTAAGAAATAGCATTTTTTTCACATTTTCTTTAAAACTCATATTAGTTTTTGTTTTTTTTTTTTACAGGTGATCAAATAGATAGATGAAAGTGACACTGGCCATGGAAGACTGGTACTTCTATATTCCCTCTGAAAATCATAGCGAAGAGAGGTTTCTGCCCTTTGCACTGTCCTTGAAGTGGTTAGCTGGTCATGAAACTATCAGGTGTCAACTTAGGTCACATAATGTAAATCATTTTTATGTAAACTCTAGAAATCTGTGGACATGGTTTCACTATGAAAAGATCCATAGCCTATTTAAAAATAAAAAAAATTAAATTCTATAAAATGTTTATAGAAAATAAGTATCTAGCGATAGTTACAAAGGTATTTTTTTTAACATAAGGGCTTTACATCTAATTGTTTATTCTTCTCTTTACTAATTAAAATGATAGAATTAATCATCTAATTCTATGGAAAAACATATATCCCATAGGATTTATGGGATTTCTGTTATTCAGAGGTTTGAAAGGACACTTCGAAGGGATTCTAAAACTTTTTTCTAGGAATAAATGCCTTTTGGTTTCACGTTCAAAATTCCTCCATGGGAGCTGAGAAGTCAGATGTGAAGTTTTTAAAAGATTAATTAGTTGATAATTTAAAAGACAAATTAAAGACAATGGTTAATGAGTGAGCTACACAAGTCTTTCCATATAAAAGCAGTGCAAATTAAAGGTTAAAAAGAAGATTGTAGTTGTTCACAAATAGATCCATAATGGCAATGATGACTTTTGAATGTTAGTTGTAATATAGTGGTTTGTAACCTTCAAAGCACAAAAGCAGTATCTGAGCCACCTTTAAAAAAAAAGATGGGCATGTTTAATTTCCACCCTCCACAGATTTAGATTTAATTGGCTTGGGGTGGGGCCCGACTTTGGTATTATATAAAGTTTCTATGTACTTCTAATGTACTGCCAAGGGTGAGAAACTGCTATAGAAACTTAGATTTGGAATGCTCATCTAAGTAGTCTGTGAGGCTGTTAAAAACCAAATGTTTTGCTTTTGTCAAAATTACATTCTCCTCTGACAAAGGTTATGCTCATGTTTTAATTAAACAGAATTGTTCATTGAAAAACCACCAAATAATATTGTACTTGGACATCTACCATATTGCAAAGTTCTCTATTTCTCCCAGTGCTCTCACTGTTTTATGCTCAGGTAATTAACTGTCCATCAGTTGGAGTAGCAGAGCCTTGCTTAGTCTCAGAGCTATTTTATTACTTTTCGCCTTGCTGGGTTCCTATCATGAACAGTATCATTGACCTTCTGAGTTATAATGAGAAACACTAACAAAGCTAAACAGATGGTAATTAGGAAGTAGCCATGACCCTCACCTGATGTGGGTTTTGGAACACTATGGCAATAACTATATAACATATTACAGTGCTGGAGAGTCTATTTGATTGATAAAATTAGGAACCAAAATTGCTGCAATTATCCTATCATAATGTAACCAAATGCTTAATATTGTTAAGTGATGCATTTTTAATAATCAGTTCAGAGTGCCCATCTACTTATCTACTTACTGATAAAGTACTGGCACATTTTAATTTAAATAACATGTATTGAATTTCGGCTTACAGTTGGTCATCATTCTTCTATGTGAGAAATGTATAAGTGGCTATTTATACTATTAAGAAAGACTCAAATAACTTTTACTTATGCTTGAAAATAATAAAAATAATAAAATAAAATTACAATTCTTCAAGAAACTCCTGTATTTTCTGAAGACAGATACTCCTGGATAGTTTTTTTTGTGTTTGCAATATCAGTTAGCTCTCTCAGATTGGAGACTCTGCCTTATAATGTTTAATACCTATAGCCATAGCCAATGTTATGCAACACGTTCTGTTCTAAGTTAACTGCCCTGTAATATGCCTAATAAAATATTTACATATGCCCATGTGCACCTTAAGTGTTCAGAGCATCTAGAAAATGAAAAATCTTGATTATGGTTAAATTAACTGAAATTATTTGCTTTTCAAGGTTGTGTCTAAACAATGTCAAACCAAGCAACCAAACAGTCAATTGAACGAGAGGGGAATAGTCAGCTCAATGACTGTGAACACTACCTACCACACATAGTAAGTAGGAAAGATGAACTGAGTTAACAGAAGTAAAGCACTTAACACAGTTCTCAATACATAACCAACAGTTAATAAGGGTAGGTAATTTATCTTTGTTGTTGTTGTTATTGATGTTAATCATTTAAGTAAAATCCTTGCTATCCTTCATTTAATTTGGGCTCCTCTCTCTCTATATACCCTCACTTTAGGTTTCAAAACCATTTAGAACTACCTCATATCCAAGATGCTGACTGAAATTTGCCTCAGAGCATAACTTCTTACTCTTTAACCCCTCCTATTTTCATAAGAAGTCATTTTATCCTTTATTGGTGATTATGGTTCCTTAGTTAATCCATAGTCTCACATTAATAACAACTTTCAGGAATTTCTTCTTCCCTTCTTCCAATCCATTTCCAAGGCTCTGCCATGTCAGCAAAACACTAGCTTAGGAACTTTGGTTCTCTGTGCTTGCTTTTCTGCAATTTCCAATTATCTCTCTCGCTTTTTTTTTTAAATTTTGGTGCTTGGGTGAATCTACCTTTCACTTCATTTACTTCTGCTATTAAGACACTGGGAAAGTAATAAGATGTGGTTAACTGGTTATAGGACAAGTCCACATTATTGATTCTCTGCTTAATTCACAAACTGCTAACAATCCTGCTCTCTATTTGTTTACCTTATTTTTAACTGAGTTTTTTTTTTCTTTTTTTGAGACAGGGTCTCACTCTGACACCCAGGCTAGAGTGGTGTAGTGGTGCAATCAGATTTCCCTGCAGCCTCGACTTCCCAGGCTCAGATGATTCTCCCACCTCAGCCTCCAGAATAGCTGGGACTACGGGCATGCACCACCATACCGAGCTATCTTTTTGTATTTTTTGTAGAGACAGAGTTTTGCTATGTTGCTCAGGCTGATCTTGAACTCCTGGGCTCAAATGACCTGCCCACCTTGGCCTCTCAACGTGCTGGGATTACAGGTGTTAGTCACCACACCTGGCCTGAGTCTTTCCAAAAGTTTTGGACTCTTCTCAACCATCTGGGGATCAAGGAAATGCATGAAATCTAAATTATCTCAATCATGAAATCTAAACTCCTTCAATCTCTAGCTCAACATGTTTAAAAATGTGTCTTCCTCATGGCCTCCTCTCTCCTCTTGTCTCATAAAAAAGAATAGCTCCTTTCCTCTCATTGTGGTCTAGCATTCATGCTTGTGGCCTCAACAGACTCCTAACTACTCTTTCAGGCCCTTGCTCATCGACTATTAACATTTATGTTTTATGCCTTGGATTTCTAGATTGTTCCCTTGAGCTTACAAGCCTGCTGAATTAAGTTCTATCCTAAACCAAAAAACATTTTCATTCCACCTTACTACTCTGTTAAACCAGACACATATATTTTCTATTCCCTTCCCTGGTAACCTTCTTGAAAGGATGCTTTCTACATACCCCCTTAGCAACTTTTAACCTTCAACTAGAAGCTAGATCCTGCTCCCGCCTCTACAATAACTTCTTTCTGAAAGGTCCCCATTGATTTTGAACTCCAATAACCTGTCCTTAACTTTTTCCTCTGAAAGTATATAGCACAATACATCAGGCTTCCTGCTTGAAATCATTTTTGTTTCTAGCTCCTATTGCATTGTTCTGTAGAGGTTTCCCTTCTACTAATCTGATTGTTAATTTTATGATTCTTATTGACATCCCCTTCCCCTCCTTTTTCCTTGCTGTCAGACTTTGGACAAGCTCTTAGTTTCATATCTATCACGTGGGTGCAATATACCATTATAATATTATTTTGTGGATATATGCATTTAATAATTTCTTCTCTCATCTGAAATTAGTCCTCCCAAGGGTCTCTCAGGGGCACTTTTCTCTTTCTATGCTCTTTGTGTGGGTAAGATCAGATCATTCATCACATACCTTTCACTGTCACCTTTATGGTTCACTCCTAATCTGTGTTTCCATACTTGTTTCCTCTGCATAAGTTGTGCTTTTGCAGTTACTCACTAGATGATTCCTCCAAAAAACTCCTTTGACTCTGTTCAGTGTGTACATCATAGACCTGAAAATTTGCTACTTATCTGTCTCTCTTTTAATGTCTTATATTTCTTTCCAGTCTCTTAATATAAAATGAAAAACCACATTTTTTATGCCTAATTCAATTATTTCCAAAATACTTCTTTTTTTTTCTGAAGTATTTTTGACTCATCTCTGTTATCATAGTGATACTTTTAGTCTTCTATGTTTGCTAATAATGGGGTCCTCTTAGATGCTAAGATGCCTAGATGCTGAGAGGATCTGGATGCCTCTAGATTCTTCTGCTTCTGAAATTTATCCTAAAAACCATAGCCAGATTAATTTCTCTAAATTGATGATCCTCTAAAAATGTTAATAGATGTTCAAAAATCTATGTTAAGGAAATAAATCTAGCTTCTTATCCTGGCATCAGTAATCTAGCCATTTGATTACGAGGGATCAAAATAAACAATGGGGCTACCCAACGAGCTCCTCTCAACCCCCTTTAACTATTTCCCTGCATGTAAAGTGTTTAGCTGTTACTGGTAAATGCTTTACATTTTTGTGCCTTGGTATATTTGTTCACATCCATTGGTCACCTGGATTTTTCTTTGAAAACTCCCCTTATATGTTCAAATTTGATTATTCTTAGTCTAATACAAATGTTATACACTCTAGGCAGCCTGCCTTCAACACCACTGCCCCGTCCCCCTGCTCCCTCAATCAAGACATACTCTTCCCCTTCCACCTTCTTCTATAAGCCCTTATCACTGTGTATCTCAAGGAACTGGCCAATTCTTATTGTATATAGTATTATATTTATTTGTGTACTTTTCACCACTTCTATAAGCATACCCAATACATTGGTTTAATAGTATTAGACTATTAATGGATATTTACTGAATAACAAACAAATGAGTAATGTATCTCTATAGCCACAGAACAATCTATTTGAAAGTTAAAATTATCTGCAATTTTATTTCTGAAATTCCAAAAATGTTCTTTGCTCGCACCTGCTAAATTGATGAGTAACAAAGATGATTTCACTAATTGCAAGATTTTCAAAGGCTCTATCATCTAATAGGAGTTTTAGGGGTTGAGTTTGATAGTATTTTATTTATTTATTTGGTTAGTTATACTTTGAGACTGGGTCTCACTATACTGCCCAGGATAATCTCGAACTCTTGGCCTCCAGCTATCTTCCTGTCTCAGGATGACAGGTGCATGCTACAGTGCCTAGTTTGTGATAGTATTTTAGAATTTAAGATATGAAGCTTTGTAACTATGTAAAATAGTAAAAGTCTCAAAAAAGTATGCATTTGACATGGAAAAATGCTGGAGTTTTTCACCAGAAGTTGGTAAATCAACAGAAATTGTGACAGAATACATTTAATTATTCAGTAATGCTAAAATGTAATGTCTGTATTTTCACCAAGAAGACAATATATCCTGTATTTCACGCTGTGATAATCACCCTGTATAGAGGTAATGAGACCCCAAGAGGCAGCCAAATTTAGTTGTTAGAAGTCTGGACTTCATAGCTAGATTGGATTCAAACCCCAGCCCCACAGTGTTTGACTGTCATTGAGTCACTTAAACTCTGTGCCTCAGTTTCATCACCTATAAAATGTGGATCATGTGAGTTAATACATGTAACAGTCTTGAAACAATACCAGCACAAAGCTTATAGTATACATTTTAGATATTATCTATCAAAAAAGGAGAAACATCTCTGTTTACCAAGATTATAAGTTGCTTCATTTTTATTGTTTTCTGGGTCCAATTAATTTTCAGATATGTAATATTTCAGAGCTCTAAAATCCCTACAGTTTTGGTCAAAAAATTTAGTTGCAATGTGTTTAAGTCCCTTGTTCAAGGACCCCTAACTAGTTGGTAGCATGGATAAAAAAGTCATCTTTCTTTCTTTCTTCCTTTCCTCTCCTCTCCTCTTCTCTCCTCTCCTTTCCTTATCTATTATCTATCTATCTATCTATCTATCTATCTATCTATCTATCTATCTATCTATCTATCTTTTTCCATTCGTCCATATACCTTATACAGCAAAAGATTTGGGGTAGTTAATTAGAAATACATTTTTCCTAGCGGGGAGTGGTGGCTCACGCCTGTAATCCCAGCACTTTGGGAGGCTGAGGCAGGCGGATCACGAGGTCAGGAGAACGAGACCATCCTGGCTAACACGGTGAAACCCAGTCTCTATTAAAAATACAAAAAATTAGCCGGGCATGGTGGCGGGCACCTGTAGTCCCAGCTACTTGGGAGGCTGAGGCAGGGGAATGGCGTGAATCCGGGAGGCGGAGCTTGCGGTAGGCCAAGATGGCGCCACTGTAACTCCAGCCTGGGTGACAGAGCGAGACTCCATCTCAAAAAAAAAAAAATAATAATAATAAAATAAAATAAATTAAAATAGTACATGTTTCCTGATTTCAAGCTCCATGTTTATGTACCATGTTTTCCTGTGAATTTTTGGACTGCCCTTCATAAACAATTTCTCTCAAAGTTCTGGAAACATCATTCCTTCTATTTTTTTCTTTGGATACATCAGGATTCTATTTAATCTTACTTGGCAAATAATCAAGGGCCTTGGAGGAAAAACTCCTAAGAATGTTTCAGAGACCACAGCTTAGTTCTAAGCTATTATTTATAATGTTCAAATAACACAATATCTACACTGTTAGTATTTAGATCTGTGTTAATTACATTTTCCATAGATTATAAAATTAATAAAGATAAGTAATAAAAATAAGGTTTTTTTTACATTTACAAATATGAGCATGAATAGCTGAAATCTTCACGTCTGATTTTTTTAAATTATAAAATCTAATGGCTTTATTAGGTTAATCATTTTGTAGGTTTAGGAACCCAAAGGAAATGAAATGCTATGAGTTTCTCTCCTTTCTTCCTTATTCTATGCACTATAACCAAAATAGAAAGCAGAGGAAAGAGAAAGGAAGCAGAGGCACAAATGCTTTTCTATCAGAGTGATGAATAATTAAATGCTGAATGTAATTAAAGTTTTTACTGATAAAAATGGGAAGTTTGGTGGATACCGCACACTATTACAATCATCTGAACCTGTGTTTGGGTATGAAGATGTGGCTTTCTGTAGAGAAGAAATTGTTACTTTAAGACTTTATGCTGGCTTAGGCTCTAGACATGGAAGCTTACTAAAATCCTGCAGAGTCGATGAAACACAAACAATTTGTGTCATTTTTAAGGAATAAGAAAAATATAATGTTCTGCTTAGTATGGGCAAATGATTTGTTTTGCTGCCAAAGAACCCACTTACCAATAAGCATGAGAATCAAATACTTAAACTTGTGCTTAAACATCTATATTTCCAATAAAGGAGTAGTTATTTTTTTCCCTAAATCCTTTTTAATAATTCCTAGGACCTGATAAAACCCTAAGCTTCCACAAGGATGTAGAGTAATTGGTGCAAATTTTAATCTTTCATTGTACTTTCATTTCATGCTTACGAGGGATCAAAATAAACAATGGGGCCAGCTGGGATCAGATGTCATAAAATATTTTGGTTCATGTGACAAAATTATTCAGTATATAAATGTAATATTTAACTTAGCACTCTATTACCCTAGTTTTCTTCTCATCCCAACAGGCTGCTAAGAAAGTCTCCCAAATTATCCCCTAAACTATTAGAAAGTAATATAATATAAAAGTACTCTTTCTTTCATAGAATATAGATTCAAATATTTTTATCTGAGGAGATAATTTTTTACTTCTCTCAATCAACATACATTAGATTTTAACAGGAGTAAGCAAGAGCATTGACTAGTTGAGCATTCCAAAGTTAGTTATTTCTTTCAGTCTTTGTTCTGCTCACAACGTTGACCTTTCCCTGTGCTGTTGTTTTCATATCTTTTATTTTATAGAAGTGTTTTAAAGGCTTTGGTGATATCTATTTCTGTTTCTTTCCTGCAATCCAAACGTATATTATGGTTGGATTGAGAAAAGTCTAATACAATCTGATAAAAATTAAGAAGTAAATTATTTGTTACTACTAAATATAAGAAACTTTGTCTTATATTTGTATAAGATGTTAAAGAGTAACATTTGTGTTTTTAATTTATTATACTTAGTGAAATTATAAATTGATTCAGTGATAATATTTTTGGGGAGGAATTAAATTGGCAGAAGGTGTCAGGAATATTAAAACAAATTTCATATTCAAATGCATAATTCTAAAGCAATCACTTTGTATGCAAACACTAGGTGAAGAAATAATTGATAAAAAAATTGAAGTGCAAACAAACTCTTGATGAACTTTAGTCAACAAAAAAAATAGAGAAACATCGTAAGTAATTGAGACATTAGCAGCCATTAAAACCTATGTGGGGAAAAATAATGGCATAGAAAAATATTGATGATATATCAAATTTACATTGTAGAGAAATTGAATAGAAAAGCCTTAGAAGAAAATACAACCAAATTCTAAAAGAGATGGCTCATTGGTGTTCTGCTTCTTCATCCTTTTGGGTACTTGTCACATTTATTTTGCAATATTTATATGTTACATTATCAGATATAAATTTAAAACCTAATTCATATCAAAGACATTGCTCATTTCAATATTTTATAGCACTTCATGAGTTAAGCAAAGCAGGGAGAATAATTTTCCATTTTATAGTTGAGAAGACTAGGTAATTTCTCAATTGGAGGAGCTTGAAATAAAACTAGATCCTCCAAGGCTAGTTTCAATGCTTCTTCTATGATCACACTAGAATGATAGAGGAGATAATATATGTGAACATTCTATGAGTTTTTCACAATAAAATACAATTATAATCAGAGATACTAATGATGTTATTTGATTTATTTGATCTTCATAAACTCCTAATTCTAATTGAGTGAAAAATAAATGCATGAAATCAACTGAATGTCAATAAAAAGGAATATAAAATTAGGTAAAATAGGTCTGAAATAAAAACCAATAACATTTATGTTTGATTTATTACTATATCAGAATTAAAAGAACATCTAAAACTCTTTTGTTTTACTTTAGAAATATACTCAACATGGCACTTGAAGTAAAAATGAAGGCAGTCATATTAAAAATATTAATGATGATTAAAGGTAAAAGAGTCCATAAGGTAAGATGTGAAGGGTGAAAAAAGTTAAATTCACTTGGAAATTACCAGTAGGTTTTTCATTTAAAAAATCTATTTTAATCAGTGTGAAATTAAAGTGGAAATGAATATCTTCATAATTATTTATTGAGGTTCACTTACAGGGCATAATTAAGAGACTAAAGCAATCAATAAGACTTAAGCCAGGCTCCTTTCTAGAGGTCCACACCACTTTAGTAGTAGACATAATTATTCCTGTACATCCACACTTGGACCATTTACACTAGACTCTTTCCCTCATCGAGCATACCTGTGGCCAGTGCCAGACAGTGAGCAACTTTACAGCATAGGTAGCCTTATCCATGCTTGTATGTGCAGAACTTAGCACAGCGCCCAATAGTTTGTATGCATGGAATACAAATAGAACAGTTTGTATGTTTGTTTTTGTATGGAATCAAACTTATTTCAATAGCCTAAACCAAATCACCTCCCATTTGTATGTGTTAGGAAAAAATGCATAACTCATCCCCAAATTAATTAAATGATCTAGAGTATTATTTGCATTATCAGGTAACTTTGCTACTAGTTGCCTACTCTATTAGGTAATGTATATGCATAGTTATACAGGGGTGATATGCTTGATGAGTTTCAAACTCAGCCATTTCCCAGGCAGTAGCCTCTAAGACCAGGGTCAAAACTTTAAAAGATTATAGCCAGATAAAGATAATTATATAAAGTGGATTTGTTACAATAAATATATTTTCCCCCTTTCCTCAAGACACAGGTGCAGAGAAATATTTCTTCAATTTCAAGAATATTGACAAATGTCAAATGACCCTCAGCCTCAGTGTCAGGAACATAATTTAGAAGGAGTTGTGGAGATTGGGAAAAGTTTTCATGCCATTTCTACATGGGCAGTTTCTATTAAATTCCACCTGATGGTGCCAGGTAAGAATCCTGGTCCATTGTAGCAAGATCTTCTGACTTATTAGTAGATGGAAATCCAGATTTTTATTTAAAATATCTCATTTTTAAAGTGTTGGTAATTTTTGAAAATGTAAAACACTATGTATGCCAAATAAAACACTTCTACAGAGAATATTTGGCACAAAACCTCCTAGTTTATGACCTCCAGTTTAAAAAGTACTATTTGTTGCACATATAATTGAAATATTCTTGAAAAGTCATATAATTTGATTATTAAATGTCAAGGAAAGTTTACTGATTAAAGGAAACTATATATTACTGATTAAAGGAAAATATATATTCGTAATTATGTATATTATTCCATAGTTATAATATGAAAATTAACAAGTATTTCACAAACTCCATTTATTATGAAAATGAAAATACCAAAGCCCAGAAAAATAAGAATGACCATGTTAAGCTTTACTTTAGATGTAGTATAACTGATTTAGGTCACAAGTTCAACTTGGCTTTCAATGTAAGCAGATGCATGATTGTATTTCTAAATGATGACTAGCCAATTATGGTGACTACAAAGTTCTATCATAACTGACATTTTAAATGAAGCATTCCACTAAGAAAACTAAAATTTCAGCTTCATTTTCATCACTTTAGCTATTCAGAATTCTGTTAATCAAGTAGGAAAAAAATTGTCTTCAACATCTAGAATGATTTATCTATTTGTATGAATGTGAGAAAAATGATCACATCTTCAAGCAATAGATTACAAGTAGAAGGAACGTTCACATTACAGCTATGCTGATGAAAATTACCTGCAGGCTGTTACAACCGAACCCATGAATTAATTAACCTTTTGCCACAAAAATCTAGAAACTTCAGCAAAGACTGAGGTTTCTCTGTTTCTCTCACTTCAGCTTCCTCAGCATGTTAGAAAATAAAATGATGTGCCGTTACTGCAGGAAACAAAATATACTGAGATTTTATCAGATCTCATATTACTGCAATACAACCACATAAATTATGGTTAAAATATAGGAAGTTAGATGATTCATCTTTTGGTTTAGTTAATGAAAGATGAGTAATAATGATTGATTTCTACATAGATCTTTATTTTATGAATGAGATCAGTAATTTCTTACTGTGAATGCTGGCTACCTCTTAGTTATCTTCCGTTTGACTCTGTGAGAACATAAATAAAGCATGTTTTTTGCCAATGTGTTTTTTTAAATGAGTATAAACATGCCTTCTTATAAACAGCATTTTCAAATGAATAAAAACATTATCTATATGTAAGTGTATTGGTCAAGCATTCTGATAGTTTTCACTCGGAATCTAAAGTTTAAAAATCAGCTAACACTAAATGAAAACAATTTGGGAAAATAGAATATCTAATAAATGATGGTAACATGAGCCACTATATTTTCCCAGTTTGTTAAAGGTAAGTATCAATAAGACTTGGTGAATTTGAAGATTATACAAGACTTAAGACTACTAAGTTACATTTTAAATACTGACAGGATAACTTACATGACTTTATACAAATGTTAGAAGTCACATTTTATTTTTCTCTTTGATGTAACAGATCTTCTTTAGAAGTTAACATCCCTAATATTTAATTGTTCAGTAACAAATACCTTTAGCCATTCTCTTCCATTAGCCTATTTTTAGAGTTTAATTTTAATTAATTCTTTATATAATTAAGTAGGTGACAATAGATAAGTCATCCCTTCAGTAGGTTACCAGACATTCTTGTTCAGATCATGGATTTTACATACAGTAAGTCTTCACTTAATGTTGTTGCAACTTTAAGTGAAATGACAAACAAAAGGTCCTCGAGTAACATCCTTTAGTTCAATGTCCTTCCATTATAAGATTGATGACAGTGTTTTTGTTATTTTGTTTAAAGTTGCAGTTTCCAAGAACCTGTTGACAATGCTAAGTGAGGACTTAAAGTGTATGTTTCTAGAATGTTAGGGTATTTCTCTCATGTTCCAAAGGAAGGATGATTTGCCAAATTCATCTTTAAAGAACTAAACTAGTGAATACTTCCGAAAGTATTTTTCAGGAAATCGATTTTTAGTTTCAGGTAAGAGGTCCACAATGTGTTTAAGTAGGAAGATGATACTTTTGTGTTAATAAAGTGGGTAATGCTTATACAGACAATTCGAGATGTATATGATATTTTTTATTACAAGTAAGTGCATATTTTACTAATCAGGATTTCAACTTAAGTAGTATTTGAAGTAATTTGGGATAATAAGCCCTTCATAATTTTGAATACATTAATATTTTCCAAATGGACCTATAGAATCTATAAGGAAGATAACCTTTTAAAGGTGGTATATTTAGAATACTTACCAAAACATTTTTGGCTATTTCAGTTTTGAGAACATTTCTATTATAAATCTATACTTTAAGGTAAGACACACATTTACTTGAAGTGTCAAGGCTAGCACATTTCTGTCACATAGAAAATTCACAGTAAATATATTTTGAATACAAGAATACATAAACTTTCAAAAGATATTTAGCATTTTTGCCAATACTTAAGTTTGCCTATACTAATTTAAATTAGATTTAATATTGTCATTGATCCTTATATGATTATGTAAAGGTCATAATGTATATGTATATTGAATAATAAGGATACAATTAAATAATTAAACATTAGAACAGAAATCTATAATATTCCTTAATTTTTAGGGGGATATACATAATCTTCAAGAGATATGATCTACATACCTGACAGGTAATGTTCTGTCTCCTTTCCTCCTGTCCATTTCTCTTTGGGGAACAGGATACCAGCGGAAATTCAGTTTCCAGTTAAAACCCCCATAAGTCATGTCTGACCCAGCCATATATTCAAAAGTATCATCACTAATCACATCAATGATAGGGCAGACAACCGTTTTCCTGCAGAGAAATTAAAACCAATTTATAGACACATGATAATTAAAATGTTACATTATCTTCTTCAAACTGATTATAGCTGATATGAGGAAATTTAATTATTTTGTTACTTTAATATGCCTTTAGCTTCATTTTATCCTATTAGTCCATGGAATTATTTCCTTTGACTACATATTCCTTACAGTTTACTTTATGCTATCTTTTGAAATCTAAACAAGTTTATTTCCAAATGCATTCTAAGTACTAACTTAGCAAGATGAGCAGGGTCTATTTTTTATAAAACCTCCACCCACAGCATGATTAGTAGAGCTGCTTTGAGATTATGCATCATTTTAGCTATAATCCATTGAAAAGAAATAGCATTCAGGGAGGTAAGAAGGGATGATGGCAAATTAGATCTGGTAGTTTGCATTTCAAGTAGGGTACGTTAGTTTAGAGAGTTCTGAGAACATCTTCATGGAGAAAACACCTACTAGGAAAAACAAACAGAAATCAACAAACAGCAACAACAAAAATCATAATCCGTCAGTATAAGTAAATGTTTCCGATGAAAGATGATAGGGTCATGACCATTTCTGAGTAAAATGTCCTCAAATTAAGAGTTTACATGTATAATCTAGATGATAGCTTAAGATAGGGAAAGATAAGCAACTTTAATCTCTGGTGTTTTATTTATTTATTTATTTATTTATTTATTTATTTATTTATTTTGACAGAGCCTTGCCCTGTCACCCAGGCTGGAGTGCAGTGGGGAGATCTCAGATCAGTGCAAACTCTGCCTCCCAGGTTCAAGCAATTCTCCTGCCTCAGCCTCCCAACGTGCCTGCCATCATACCTGGCTAATTTTTGTATTTTTAGCAGAGACAGAGTTTCACCATGTTGGCTAGGTTGGTCTCGAACTCCTGACCTCAGGTGATCCACCTGCCTTGGCCTCCCAAATGCTGGGATTATAGGTGTGAGCCACCGCACCTGGCCTATCCCATTTTTCTTAAAGTAAGAGAAAGGTTGGTGTTCTTAATGGTAGCTTTCTATGGTAGAAAATTTCATTTGGGAAAATCATTAGGTACACTTTTAATCCATGTTGTGCCTTCTCTAATTCTTGATCTAATGCCTGTTCATTTATTTTATTATGGGACCAACCTTCTGTGATTTCCACAAGTAAATGTTCAGGCCTACTCAAATTGTATTGGTTGTAGCTAATTCTGAAGACCAGAGTTGGTTTTTCATATTTGGTAGAAGGTAAATACACAAATAAGCTTCTGAATCATCCCTAGATATGAAAAGCACATAAATGTCCATTATTCATACTTGTTTTGTAACACCAGTTTCACCAATACTCATTTTCAATTGAAGTCTTATATTCCACACAACTGACCAGAGCCTCAACTTATCTGCGATCAACAAGACTCCTCTAGCCTTGGAAAACCTTCTTGGTGACTCTGGACCCCAGAAAAATCAACATTTTTCTCACTTCCTTTATTAGATTTAATGATTTAACTTGTGAGGAGAAGAAATTAGGTCTAAAAATCTTGAACAGACTGTCTATTTAGGGTAGTTTTAAACTTTATAATCAGGTCAAGACAATAGGGTTCATCATATGCAAATACAGTGCAATTATGTTGTTAGATCAAAA
Organism: Homo sapiens; assembly: GCF_000001405.40. NCBI lineage: Eukaryota > Metazoa > Chordata > Mammalia > Primates > Hominidae > Homo > Homo sapiens. The sequence goes on along the minus strand of NC_000002.12, from coordinate 154,244,181 downwards.
AAATAAATAGCCTATGTATGACCGTATTGAAACATTAAAAGCTCATTCAGTTGAATATGAAACACATGTGGAAAAAAAAAACAACATAATGTACCAAAATTTGCCAGGAAATTCATTTTTAAGTTCATTTTACTTTGCCAGTCTGATTGTCCTGTGGGTACTGTACAATACACAGAGTGGAAAAATGTTATTAGCCATGTACAACACTCTATGGACTAAAAGGTTCCTACTGCTTTCTTCAACTGCTGTGCTTCATTTTACTGACAGCTTCCATCCATCTTCCTGGCAAGTACCAAATCCTGCTGTTTAAGTGATGTGGCTGGACTAGCTCAGACTAAGTAGCTCCTATCTTGAGTGTCTAATTAAAAATGTCAATTCTAGAAGGAATTTTCTACTATAGACGAAATGACTATGCAAGTATGGTGTTATGTAATGTTTTGTTATTGTATCAGTTGGCATTCAATGTTAGTTATCTAGGTATTTAGAAATTATACTCTCTTATCACCAGTGTTTATAAATATTTGCTAAAAAATGCTTGTACTTCATCAACAACAGAAGGAATTGCAGGTATGTATAAGGATTCTTAATTTCTATAAGTGTTATTTATTCAATTTTCCAGATTTCAAAATGTGTATGTATAAGGTGACATTGTTGAAATAATTAAACATATTCTTATAGCTGTGCTCTTATGTTTCTTTTTTTAATTATAATTTTTTCAGTGCTGTGTGTGTGCATGTGTGTGTGTGCATTTTTAAGACATTCCAGGTGGATTTGAACTAGACTGACTAAGGGTGCTCGTGTAGTTTACAGAACACTGGCAGAGAACTGGAAAGAGCTGAATTGTTGTTCCCAGCACTTCCAATGACAGGAGCAAGTTAGATGTGGCTTCTTTGTTCCTCCTCATTATAAGTTATAGATAAGAATATCTACAGTACCTACCTCACAGGGTGGTTGTCAGAACACAAAAAGGTGCTTTGAAAATGTGCTTTATAACACAATTATACTATTTTAGATTATATTTATTTCCTTCACCTAAAAAGTAATTTAACACGTTTTTATTATTTGAATTATTTCACTATTTCTTAATCAACTATCTATGTCCAGCATGAATACAGCAGTCTTATTTATCAAGCAAGTGGGAAAACGTGCTTTTAAGAAAAGCTATAAAATAAACCTTCTAAAAATAGCAACTTGGAAGAGAAATTCTGATGGACATCTGGAACTGTCCTAAGAGGTTCAGTCATAACCCAGGCAGACAGAACACATAAATTCTTACCTGTCTTCCTTTATTCTTGCCAGCAAAGGCTCCAGCCATCCTAACGTGCATTCACAGTGTGCATCAAGAAAAGTTATGACCTGCCCTTTTGAAGCAGCTGCTCCTCGAAGACGGGCACGTATTAACCCAGAGCGTTCTTCCATCCTAATAATTTTTACTGGCACTTCTAAATTTTTCACGTAATTCTCTAATGTCAACTTGAGAAAATCTGTAACATGTATAAGAATTTATAAGAAAAATTTTTGAAACTGTTTTAAGAAATAGCAGAGATACTACCAAGATGGAAATTCAACACACAGAAATGGTGGCCAATTCCTATCAGTATTTACTGCCTTAGATATAAAATAATAGAGATTTCATTAGTTAATTAATGTCAAGTATCCATAAAATCATATGAGAATGCTCAATAATATAATCAATTGAGTTGGAAAAAAGATATATTTTTGAAAGTCATTTTGGCTGAAATTTTAGGTAAGAACCATATAGAATCATGAGAGAAAGTGAAAGAATTAGTTATTTGCTTCTAGAGTTGGCATTAATGAGGTTCTTGATGAGAATCTGATAGGCTGTGGCAGGGCTAGTAAAATTATAATGCAAATATAGATCATTGCCTAGTTATCTTTTTGGCCATAATAAAGCTTTCTAATACAAAAAAACAAAACAAAACAAAACAAAAAAACAAAAACAAAAACAAAAAACCAGTTTGTACCTCTTTCACTGGCATCATCTACCAAGATGACCTCTGAGAGTAGATAGTGTGGGGAACGATTTATCACACTGTAAACAGTTCTAAGGAGAGTGCTCCAAGCTTCATTATGAAACACAATGACTACACTTGTGTTTGGAAGTTCATCAGGGTAGACTTTTGTCTTACATCTGAAAAAGAGAAAAGAAGAGGGATCTTAATAAATGCATTTTTTATCCTGATTATTTTAAAAAGAAATATCCATAATAACACAACTTCAGACTTGAAAGCCCCTTACTAAGGAAATGTTTTATGAATATCTAAAATCATTTCCCTTTTATAACTGCTGTGAGTAATCAGTTGGCATTCTGAAAATTAAATATGCATAATTACTAATATTTTTATTTTAACTCCTGCAGGGAACAAAGCAGCATGATTTCTACAAGTCTAAGAAAAACCTAAGAAATATAAAATAACATTCTGAAACTGGTAAAACAGGTACAAATGAGTTCATTTAGTGAATATAATTTTATCATTTGTTAATAAAAATGTATAACTCAAGAAGTCATAGGAACATAAACAGACAAGGGTCCAAAGGGTTTTGAAATATGTAAAACAGATTTTTCTGTTCTAAATCTAGTCATATATGCTTTTAATTCCATTTGAGGATGCTATAAACAATGTCTACTTCCAAGGAATGATTTAGGTTTCCTTTAGATTCAGAATCTACTAAATGCATCCTGGCCTCTAAAATTTCCCTATGTTTTGGAGATCAGGAAAGGGAATGGACTACCAGCATTTCTCAAACTGTAATGTGCACAGTCACTGATATGGAAGTGCTGGGAAGGTAAGAGCGTGGTCCCTTTAAATGACAGGGAAGAAGGGAAGGGAAGTGCTGGGTAGAAGAGGGCGTGGTCCCTGGCTAGGGCTCCACCCCTACAGACCCTGGGTGAGGACAGGCATTTCCTGCCCAAATGTTGGATTTCCCAAGACCGCCCTGGCCTGCCATCCTGTGCCTATAACCACCCCCGCTCCACCACCCCCAGACTCTAGAAGGCAGACACACAAGCTGCTGGACGTCCAGAAGAGCAGATCTGCCCGAGAAGACACAGACAGCTGGATGAAACAGACAGCTGGGTGTGGAGAGGAGCAAGTCAGCGGAGGAAGGCACGGACGGCTAGACATGGAGAGGGATGCACCAGCAGGCACCGGCAAGCCAGCAAGCCATTGACCAGTGGGAGGAGGCGGAATTTGGCTGGGGCAGTCAGAGGAGACAGCCCAGGCCGCTGAGGTGCTGGACTCCAGGGGAAAACCTTCCCACTCCATCTCCTTTCTGGCTTCCCCCATCTGCTGAGAGCTACCTCCACTCAATAAAACCTTGCACTCATTCTCCAAGCCCAAGTGTGATGTGACTCTTCCGGTACACCAAGCCAAGAACCCCGGATACAGAAAGTCCTCTGTCCTTGTGACAAGGTAGTGACAAGGTAGAGGGTCTAATTGAGCTGGTTAACACAAGCTGCCTATAGATGGCAAAATTAAAAGAGCACACGGTAGCACGCTCCCACTAGGGCCCTAAACACTGCTGTGGGGTCGGAGCCCCACAACCTGCCCGTCCGTCCATATACTGCCCTAGAGATTTGAGCAGAGGGGCACTGAAGAAGCAAGCCACAGCCCCATCACACGCCGTGTGAGAGGGAGAAGGCAACTTTTCCCATTTCAGCATCACCTGGAGATTTATTCAAATGCAGATTCTAATTCACTAGGTCTAGGGTGAAGTTTCTGCATTTCCGAAAAGCTCCCAGATGATTTAGAGGCTGCTGGTCCCCAGAGCACACTGATTAGTAAGGGGCTACACCATCATTATTACTACTTTTAGAACTTAACATTTTGAAAAATGTTTTTGACTTTGCTTATAAATCCAAATAAGTCCAGATTTTTCTTTTCAAGCAATCAATCAAGGTACACTTGGATCAATGATATGTGTAGTGCTGTAGGTGGTGATCCCAAATTTAACAGGCAGATGTTTGTTGCTCCCATCAACTCGTCAACATTCAGGCATTTCTGTCATGTCATTTTAAGTCAACGTGATTACAGATTATTAAAAAATGTCAAAAGGTTTCTGGAGCAGAAACAGAAGTTTATTCACCTGAGGTTATTTTTTTATGTAAAATATTCTGAAGAGCTAGATAATTAGTACCATAATATAAACTGAATCAGATACCTCTTGCTAATTATGAATGGGTTAATGCATGACACATACAGCATTGTTGAAATTAGTTTCCTTCACAAGGGAGTGAAAAAAATACAATAAAATGTGGAAGATGAAGGCATATAACAGATACTTGATTGTGTGCCAGTTAAGATCTTCATTATTTTTTAAAACCGTCTAAAAGATCACCTACCCAATAAAGTCTTCTGCAATATAGCCAGCTAAAAATGTCCATTTACCTCAATTACAACATTTTCCAGCATACATTTATTTGAAAAAGATTTATTAAGCATCTATAATACAAAAGATACTGTGCATATAAGAAAATAAAAATGTAAGGCATGGGAAAAGTAGTTGGATTTATTGTCATCTCTTTCTGGTGGCAAGATTCAAAAGATTTCTATGAACTTCATCATTTGACTTGTATCTCCAAGTAGCTCATCACTAAATAAACTTAGAAAGTCATCTTGGTAAATGAGAGAGGGTTCTCTCTACCATTTTCCTCAAATTTCCATTCTCCTGCCTCATTAAAAAAACCTAATCACTTTGAGCATGCAAAGCCAAGAGTAAGGTAAAGATCATCATCCTCCTCAAAGAAGTACAACTAGAAAAACAGGCTAAAAGCAGTCCAAAAGCCAACAACCAGTGGCTTCACTCAAGGACTACAGTGAATAAAGTCTACTCAGCATCATTTTTTAAAAAAGATTTTTTCAATCAACATTTTTTGTATGTTACACGAAATGCCAACAATTAAATGATTTAAAATGTCAAACTAAAAGCAGATATTTCGATACAGCATCTTAAAGTATTTCTACCAAGCTTTACTTTGTGATTAAAAAAATCCACTCACAAATGTTACCTTTATATTCATTTTATGTGTCAAAATTATAATGAATTAGTTTACTGTTAATGTAGCTATCATGTTTACTTAGAGAAAACTTCCACTGTCATTATTTAATGTAGCATAAAAATTAAATAGGGCTAATATTTTAATTAATTCTTCCTCTTCTTCCTGTGTAAACAGTCATTCATCAAAGGGTAAAATGGTTCAGTTATGGGGGATGAATAACTTCTGGAGATCTAATGCACAGCATGGTGACTATAATTAATAATACTGTATTGTATACTGTAGTTAAAATATACTAAGAAATTGATCTTAAGAGTTCTCACCACATCAAAAAAATCATAAAGATGTGAGCTGGCAGACGTGTTAACTTGATCATTTCACAATGTTTATGTGTATCAAAACATCAAGTTGTATACCTTAAGTATATATAACTTTTAGTTGTCAAATATACCTCAATAAAGCTGAATAAAGTCATTCAGCAAAGAAGACTCCTTCTGTACTATTAAAGTGACACAAATTAGTTCTTTTCTATGTCAGTTTATCTAGTTATCTTAAATGCATATATTTATATAAGCAAGAGTTATGATTTTCATTATTTCTGATGAATTTGTGGTACAATGAACTGGTATTATTGTCTGTATTTTACCAAAGTTAATGTTCCATCTGTGGGAAGATATGATTTTATCTACTATTATGAAAGAAAAAAATGTGGTCAAATTATAGCACAATGCTTTCTTATCACTAGAGTCCATTTAATACTTAAATAGAGCTTACAGAAAAAGCTTTTAAATGAATTTGGACTTAGATTTCTATCAATATTGTTATGCTCGACTTATGAATCAGTCACATCATTTTCCTGTAGATTTGAAGTTTCTTCCATGTATTTAAGCTTTCTTTGCCTTTAAATAGTATTGCTTATCATATGAGGGACAAACATTTAGCATATAACTCAAGAAATCTAAAACAGTGTCAACCTCTTGTGGATATCTTCCTTGGTACTATAAAGTCCTGCTTTTTAAAGTTTAAGGTGCAAATGAATTATGTGCGGATCTTGTTAAAATGCAGATTCTGATTCAGTAGATCTGGTATGAACTCATGATTCTACATTTATAATACCATCCTTGGTGGTGCCAACATTCCTGGTCCTTGGCTGACATGATAAGAAAAAAGCCATATAAATCAGTCAGCTGTTGATTAACAGGCAAATGTAGGATTGTAATGATGCCCCCAATAACAAATCTTTGTTTAATCATATAAAATTTAATTCTTGCTGTTCTTTCATATCTTGTTCTCTTCAGACAATAACTTTTTGTTCTAATATTGAACAATAATGTAATATTTTTGAAAAAATAGTGAATGACAATTAAACTCAATACATGCAGTACAAAGAGTACACATAATCTAGATGAAGCAATGGCTATATGAACAGCTGTGACCATGTTTGAAAAACTCATGCTAATTTCAGACACATAAAATGAAAAAACTGCACATCTTAACACATGTGAATACAATAATTTCTTTTGTTTAGACAACAAAATGCATTTAAAGTTTTGTGTAAAAAAACCTTTATACTATATGTTATACTATATATTATAAATAATATCTAACATGTTATATATAATATTACATATATATATATATATATAAAGCTGGCAGAGTTTTTAACTCACTGTTATTTCCAGAAACAATTCAAAACAAACAAGAACAACAACATGAACAAGGAACAAATGATGGAAGTGGGGATAAGTACTTAAAACAAAACAAATAGATAGAACTTGGCTAATAATCTATTCTACTTGAGACAAGACAATTTGTTCTTTGTGATATAAAAAGGATAATTTCACCACTTTTCACCTCAGTTTTTATATCTTTTACATAATAAGATTAAGGTAGGCAATCTCAAAGGTCTCATCTGAAATGTATGGTAGACATTCTTTGGTATATGCTGCAGAGTAAAGCTCATAATCTCCACATGGTGGAACTGGAAAGGACTTTCAAAGTTGGCTAATTCAAAGTTTCATTTCACAGAATACAAGTCTCAAGCTGCATAGTTCTTTCAGTACTATATTAAAGTAGTAATAATAATGCAATAAAAATAATTTAGTAATACTAATGATTTCTGCCTGAGATTCTTTTATAATGCTATATCAAAAGTTTTAAATGACATTAATTGTAAAAAAATTAATTGGAAAAATTAGAAACAAATAAAGCATATTAAAATGTGCCTTAATCTTGCATTCAAATATATATATCGTTGTATCAGATAGGAAAATACCAATTTCCCTGGGATCACTTCATTAAAACTAAGCATAAAATGTCAGCTTGAATTGAAATTATGTATATTTAGACCAAATAACCCTTTTAGCAACATGTCTTATGAAGTTATTATTTGTTTTCTTTTATGTAAACATCTAAATGGGATTAGCAAAATTGACATTATTGTAGAGCACAATGTATATGTAATTAACTTTGAGAGTAAAAGTGGCAGATGGCAATAGCAATTTTCATCAATTTGAAAGGAATATTTGATGTCCAAATCAAGAGCCTGAAATCTGGTATTCCAGTGAAATCATAAGCTTTATCATGGCAACAGTTAACACTATATTGACATGCTGAATTTGTAATACTTGCAAGGAAGTGAAAGTTTATTTTTTTAATTCTATGATAATATATCTGTGGCTCTTAATCTTGGCTGGACATTGGAATTATCTCATGAGCTCAAAAAACTATAGGTGTGAGAGCTTCTGTCACAGAAATTCTGATTAAAGTGTCTGACTGTGTCTACAGGTGAAAATATTTTTAAAAAACTCTTTGGAAGTTCAAATGTGTAGCCAAAGTTGAGAATGGTTACTCAAGTACTTTACCATAAAGATAGACTCTTTGAAACATGTAAAACCTTTAGGCTTATGCCAACATTTTAAAATATGATGCATGAGGTTAACATCTCTTTGTGTGTTTATATCTTATAAAAGTAGGAAGATTACCTTTATGTCATATAAAAGCAAGAAGACAATATTTACTGTCACGAAAGCAGGGAAAGTCAGAAAGTCTTCTCCACTTCTTTTACAATCTCTTCTGTCATCTGGATGTACACTAATGCTGTTCTCATGGTCTATTAGCTGTTGATTTATAAATATATAAAAAATAAATCCAGCTGATCTACTTTGGAAAGAATATGGAGGCAGAATCATATTTCCAATGTCTGTAACATAGCAATACAGTGAAATAGTATTCCTATTTATCACTTTTTCCCTAGGCTATGCACACATTACAGAAACATAAACTGTTACAATTTGATTTTATCCTTTCAAAACCATATTGATGTTTTCAGATAAGCTACTGAACACAACATGCCACATCAGAGAAATAAAAATTGACTATAAGATGAGAATGTGAAATCACAAAGGATCCATGATTACACAGTGATTTAGATAGACACAATCCATTCAGGACTCCAAACAAAGGCTGTCAACACTGGAGTTTGCATGACTTGTTGGACTGCTGCTCATTGAGCCAGTGGTTGCCTTTTACTACCTCAGTCAATGAATATTAATAACACTAATTAAAATAAAGACTTGCAATGCAAGTCCTCTATATATTTTAAGAGCTATGAGAATTGCAGAATTATGTGTGGTTTCTATGTTTCCCAATCATTAACATTCATATTCAGAGAGAGAAATTTCATCGTTCTCCCATGCATCCATGCAAACAAAACTTGGGCAACCAAAAAGTGATTGTTTCATAATAATTGAGCAGCTTGGGGCCTGAAGTAAAATGAAGCACTAAATTTTGCATGGGTTTCTGTGTGTTGGTTTATATTTACAATGTGTTAAATCTTCCAAAAGTAAGTTTCTATGTCATAATTACTTGGGTAATTCAATTTTTTAAAAAATCAGATTGGTATTCATCTGCTCCAAACATCTTTATTTTAAAATCCAGGGAGATGCCGTACTCATCTTTGGTGTATTTGCTATCAGATCAATTATTTGCTTCTTCTGTTTTCTTCTGATTATTGGTGGGGATGGGGTGAGAGGGTCATTGGGCAGGATGTACTTCCAACGCTCCCATACTTCTTGGCTTCCATTGGAAATATGTCGTAGGAATCTCAGGTGGGAGATAGCGGTGCTGGACAAAATAGGAACAGGAAGCCAAGGAATTTCTCTACTTTTCCCTAATCCCATATTAGAATATACGGCCCCCTTCCCTGGCCTTGTACCTTCTACATGCCTTAATCTTTTACTTTTTTATACTCTTTCACAATAAATCTATCAAATCCAATAGACTAGGGGATTCTTTAAAAGTAGAACAGAAGGAAGGTTCACCTTATTTATCTCTGCCTCTCCAGAATCTAGCATTCTGCATGTCACAAAAATATTGTTAATAAGGGGTTGAATGGATGAAAGGTTTGCAATGAGGAGTCATATTGTATGAATTATCAGATCAACTCCCCAGTCATATCTCTGCATTATTACAAGATGAAATAGAAGTGTAGAAATACCTTTTTAAAAAACATTTTTTTCATATCTTCAATTGATTTTTTCTATAACCAAAAATGAGCAAAAGACAGAGAAGGGAAAGGGAAAGAGTATATGAAAATGAGTTTGCAAGTCATCCAATTGTAACACATTCCCCTCAAACCTCAGTAACATAATTACTATTTGGACATATTGGAACAAGATCTGTGTCTGGAAAACCTGTAGTTTCCTCCCCATTCTGCCATTTAAAATATGTGACTAAACTCTCTAAGCTTCAGTTTTGTCATCACCTAAATTAGAGTAAAACTGCTCCGATATCTACATTGCAGAAGTTTGGAGGAGAACATATGAAATTATAATGGAATGATATGAATGTAATTTATTATTATAATATTCTTATAATATGAAGCACTGTACAGAATATTATAGATAAGATCTCTAAAATTATTTGGGTCAGCTATGCTGCTAGTAGGACTCTGATCATTGACACAGTTCTAATATCTTGTATTTTATCTTTAATTTCTGTGGTCAAACTTTTATTTCATATTCACTATTTCCCAAAAAATTTCAGTAATAGATCTGGTGACTAGACCATCTAGGCTTGAGGGAAGCTTTACCTGTTTGTCCAATGTAGCAGTATGGAGTAAGGGTCCTGCCTCTTTCCCTTTCAGCTCTTTTAAATCATGTGTAGCTCCTAATCCTAAATTTATCTGGCCTGCTGGTAGATCTTCCAGCTTACTCACTTTAATCTCTGTTTAATATTTTCAGCTGGAAGAACCCAGAGGATCATACTTTGCCTGCTTGCTTAGATCTCTGCTTCTTCCCTCCTCCTGACCATCCATGAGCTATCTGCCATCTTGCACCCCCTCCTACTAAGCACAACTGGGACCGTCCCCGACCACTTTCTCCACTCTATTGTTCTGTCTGGTTACCAAATTTTGCATCTTGTCAGAGTTAGGCTAGGTCTCCCATCTATCAAGCCCTGATTTAAGAAACATCATACACAAGAGGCAGTTATAAATGGCTAACATTTGTGGATATACTAATTATATAGCAGGTATTGTGCTGTGTGTTTTATATGGATCATGCCATTTGTTCAGAACTGAGACTTCCAGCAACCACACAGATTACCTATCAGAACTATGATAAGGCTTAAAAGTCATAAACAACTTCATTTCATGCATCAAGAACTACTAGGAAATAAATCTATTCAAACAATAAACTGTTCAAACAGCCTCATTCTCAGGAGGGTAAGTTGCTCACGTGGGTAAACAGCCTGCTTCATAGGACTATTATATATTGCCTAACTAGACAAACTGGTTGCTTATCAATTAACCTCCAGAACTTCGTTATTATGTCTACCCATCCCAAACTATTATGTTACATACTTCACACAATACATTAAAAGACCTTCCTTAAACTACTTAAGTCCAGATTCCCTATGTCTACAAATATCCACCTTGGCCTCTCCTTTCTATGACTACTAAGACATCTGCTAAGGTGGTGATCAGGAAATAAACTCAGTTTCCTTCTTCATCAGTTTATTCTGGTGGTCTTTTGTGGCGTTAACAGAAAAGATAATCCTTACAATATTCCTTATGAACCATTTGTACTTTTTTTCTTTTCTTTTTCTTTTTTTTTTTTTTTTTTTTGAGACAGGGTCACTCTGTCACCCATGCTGCAGTGCAGTGGCAAGATATTGATTCACTGCCACCTCCGCCTCCTGGGCTCAAGCATCCTTCTACTCAGCCACCTAAGTAGCTGGGACTACAGGCACATGCCACCACTCCCGACTTATTTTTGTAATTTTTTTTTTTTTTGTAGCGACAAAGTCTCACAATGTTGCCCAGGCTTGTCTCAAACTCCTGAGCTCAAGCAATCTGCCCACCTCGGCTTCCCAAAATGCTAGTATTACAGGCCTGAGCCACTGCACCCAACCTAATTATACTATTGCTCCCACTTGATAAATAAAGAACCTGATGTTCCAATCAGTTAAGTAACTTGCTTCTATGTAGTGGAGCTGGGTTTCAAACCCATGCAATCTGATTTCAAAAGTTATTTCCTGATGGGATACAGTGTTTTACTAGTTCAGATAGTGTTTCTGATAACAATGGTAGTTATATCACCATCTTAACTAAGCCACATGGTAAATAAAGATGGTACGTTATTTTTGTTGCAGTATACTTTAATGGAAATAAATAGGACTTAGATATAAAGAAGTCTACAGTGATTATTAGAGTGATGATGATTTTAAAGTCTAAAGCAGTAACGTCCATCAAGGCCTGGTGCCTTAAAAACAGTGAAGTAACCTTCACTGGGAATAAATGGGAACAAATGGGAATAAATTTATGGACACTATGAGAGAAGCAGAACAGAGCAGAACATTGACAGGATCAATACTATTAACTTTAGAGGCTGTAAATGTGCTACTACATATTTACTAGTTGTATTTTCATATCACAAAATATATTTAATAAGAGGTTGAATGAGTGAAAGCTTCACAGTGAGGCAGGCATTGCATGAATTATTAGATCAACTCACCAATTACATTTCAGCATTGTTATAATTGGAATGTTATCTGAGATGATCCAGGGCAGCATAAGCCTAGAGTTAGACTGGGCTTCTCTCTCTCTCTCTCTCTCTTTTGTTTTAACTCTCTGTGCTTCAGTTTCTTTGGTTGTAAAATGGGAATAATAATATCTACCTCACAGAGTTGTGAGACAAGAGGCAGTAAATGTAAAGTAGGCCAGTGCCTAGAATATAGTATAACATATATGTAAATTTATTACATGGTGCTTTTTTATTGTATATAGCCATAATTTTCTTATTTGAATTTTTAAAAATCTATACAAAAATAAAACCAAACAAAATAGGTTAGATATTAGGTTGGTGCAAAAGTAATCACAGTTTTTGCCATTGAAAGTAATGGCAAAAACTGCGATTACTTTTGCACCAACCTAATAGCATATGGCCCAGTGAATTCAACACTATTGGTGAGGAAAGACATTTTATCTTCCACTGCACCTTGTGGTTTTTACTAAAACTGTAGAAATAGAACTTCAAAAGGAATAGTCAAATAGTCACCCCTTATAGACTTGTTTTGAAAAGTCTAACTGAAGTTCTTTAAAATAAAAGTGCTAATTGAAGTTCTTTAAAATAATAAAACTTCTTTACCATTTTTGAATAAATTAAGTGCCTCACCAGAGTAGTAATGAAAGAGCAACCCAAAATAAAAACAAAACAAAACAAAATCCATCTATAAGAGCAACATCATCAATAGAAACATGAGTTCTTCTAAGGTGAGTGCTTTGAAGAGGCCCCCATGTCTTTAAATCATAACCACAGATAGGTTATTTAAGAAAGTAAACACATTATTATTTTAGCAACTAGCACTGGCAACCCACTTATGAAAGAAATTGCCTTTGACAGGAAGAATTTCTTTTAAGGAGGTATGTATTGCCAGGAAACCGAGGAAATAGCTGCTTTGAATGAGATAAGGGGAATATTTGCTTTATTCCAGGAGGGTAGGGGCTTAAGGTAGGGAAAACTAAAGAAAGGAGTAAAAAGAGACTATGATGAGGAAAGGAGCAAGTCAAATGATGTGAAGCTAAAAAGGCCAGTGAGCTCCTCAGTGGTGGTGTGATAGCTGGAGGAAATCTAAAAATGAGTTTTGTCTAAAGTTCAGGTTTCACTACAATCTTGCAATACAAGCCCACCTCCTCTCTTATTGTCCACTGCATTTAGCCTATTAATAAATGCATTATATTAGCAATGTCATGGCAATGTCATTAATGTGAGAAAAAAGCCAAATTTAGTATCTGGATTGAACTGTGAGGAGCAGAGAAAGCAGTAACAAAAGCAGTCACAAAACACTTAAGTCTACCAGAGAACTGAATAAATCTTGCATGGCTCTCTGAACATCCATAGATAATTCTTCTGGGGTTTCAGTGGACCTCATCTGGACTTTAACAGAGAGGGTACACTAGGCTGATGTCTAAGTTATTTTTAAAAATAAAATGTCATGAATATAATTTCTATTAAATAAATAACAATCATATATTACCATTGGAGTTATTTCTACAATGTCAATAATTTTAAAACACCCTGTTTATCTAGCACGTAAAAATGAGGGAGATAACCTACAGTATTATGCAAGCAAGTTTTATATTCTTTCTATTGTGAAGAACTCTCTTGAATTTTGGAAATAAATGATAATAAAAGTAAAAGAACACCAAGTAAATGTTGTGGCCTTTGTTGTTTTGGAACAGGAATTTTTGGAATTGTTCCCTTTATGTAACCTCTGAATATAATTCTTTCATGCTATTGGAAGTAGTTAACAATTAGTTGCCTGGAATAAATAAGTTTATTGCCTGTGATAACTGTAATTAAAGTGACTTTGCAGCAAACTTCCTCCTGCAATTCATAAGTTAAATTTTTACTTTTGTTAGTAATAATAACACTGGATTTTATTATCAGCAGGTCTGGACTCTGGTCTGGGCTTTGCTTCTGCTCTCATTTATGGTCTTATCCCAGTCAACTGACCACTCAGGGGCTCATGTTTTTTACCTCTCTGAGACAATGAAACCACCATCCACCCAAGTTCAAAGCCAGAAACTTTGATGTTGACATTACAATGGTGATGCTGACATCATGAATCAACAAGCCCTTAAATTATTGCATGGAATCAGTATAGTGCATCTGTGGAGTATTCTTGATCCTCAAAATATATTCTCCTCATGGCAGACAAAAACGCAAATCTAAAACATCCACTCCTTTATTCAAATGTTTTTGATGACTCTTCCTTCCTAATGATAAAGTCTAAAGGCTTCACAGGATCTGGATCAGCTTCACCTCATGTTATCTTTTCCTTTCACTGTTGCCTTTCAACTCTTCAGCAATGTTGAACATATCAATGTTTCTTCAGGGAACAAAGCCCTCTCATGCTTTTAACTCTTTCTAGCTGTAGAATGCCTTCTATCTGGAATGCTTTCTTTCATGCAGAACTCACGTATATTACCCAAGATAGGCCTCAAGTCACACTTCCTCTCAGAAATCCTAATTTTCTCCATTGGCATTCAACTATTCCCTCTCCTCATCTCCCAGTAAATTTTATATATTTATTCGCCTTTCCTTCTTATATAAATAGGATATTGGGCAATTAAACTCACTGAGAGGTTGAAGTCATTCTGAAGTGTGTGGAAAATTCCTGATGGTAGTGTAACTACTGTTTTCAGTGCAAAATATGAAAGATTCTCTGAAAAGATCCATTTCCTCTTAGGATTCTTCTAATGAGACTTTTCACCCATAGAATTTTTAAAATTATATATATATATAAAATTACATACTCAGCAAAAGTTTTGAGAATTAGTATATACTAAACATACGTTGGCTATGGGCCATACAATCTTGAAGAAAGATGTAGTTATTGATAACGAAAGTCAAATTGTCAATTGAAGCTCTGTATCCAGAGTAAATTAGGATAAGCTATGACTGGAAGGAAGAGAGATGTGTCCGGTGTTTACACATCATTACATTCAGAGAAGCATTTTTTTTTCTTTTTTTTGGTCAAGAATGCAACAGAACTGAAGTGCCAAGAAAAACACTACATTAAGAACAGCCCAGTGTTGGCAAAGGACAAGAGGCTTGCCCCGGGTATACAGCAACAAGCACAATGAAGAGATACTAACAGATAAATTGATGGTATTTGTAGAGTTTGGTAGCAGGTAGTGAAACTGACCCAAATAGTCCCATCAACTGTTCCATTTGATAAACATAGAAATTGACCTTTCTGATCTTAAAGCTTGAAACTTATATTTGTTTTATCTAAATTCCTTCCTCAGGAAAGGACCTTCAAGCCTCTCAAAAAAAAGCATCAAAGAACTGAAACTCACCAGATCACCACATCCTGAAAATGAGATTCCAGACCCCTCATTCATCATGCTTGCTTCCTTACTCCTCCCTAGTTCCTGTTTTCTCATACATTGTTATATTTCTTCCCTTCTATAAAAACCCCTAGTTTTAGTCAGTTAGGGAAATAGATTTGAGACTGAGCTCCTTGGTGGCAACACCCAATTAAAGCCTTCTTCCTTGGCAATATTAATCTTCTCAGTCATTGGCTTTCTGCAAGGTGAGCAGCAGGTCCTACAGCAAACCTCTAGTGTTTCAGTAACAATAGCAGGGACCACATCCAGGGGACGATTTCAGAAATAGATCACAGTCCCAGAGAAAATAATTCCCTCATGGAGAAACAGGGCTTCTGATTTTGCTGCAGCAAGATATTCATACAAAAGTGCAGGACACAGAATCAGTTCATGGATCACAGTGCAACGTGGGAACTAGAGCTCAGGACCAAAGCAGTAACCTAAAGAGATAGGGTCAATTAAGATGTAAAAATGGGCTTATTAACCCTTTCCCATTTAGGGGGAAAAAAAAAGTGTAGATCTCTGCCAGCGCTCATTTAATTTTACATAAACACGCTCTTTGAGGCTGAGGCAAATCTGACTGATTTTTAATGGGAAAATGAAATATAAAAACTGTTCTTGGAGTTATTTCTAAACAGAACTAACATCAGAATCATCTGAATCATAAGAATCATCTATTTCAGAAAAATTGGATTCATCAAATGAATCTTCAGCCAGCAAACTGTTTGAGAACAATGTTAACATCACACGTAGGACTGCTATGTTTTCTAGGATTTGACATTTACAGTGATTGAGAATTACCATATTTTGTAAATGGAAATACCACTACTAAAAACAGAATTCAATAAATAGAATGATGTCTATTGTTTCCAAAGTCAATATACTAGAGCCATGCAAATATAATAATAAAAGTGAGATATTTCGTGGCAAAGTTATCTCAGGGTAAACGCTACAGCCACAAGCGCCACTGGTGAGTACTGCAGGTGCAAACGGGAAATGGGTTAAGCTAGAATGAAGGCCACAACCAGCCTATTTTTGTGTGATTAGAAAAATGTGCCCCAGGTACACATAAACACCCTGGAATAGTATGCAGCCACAAAAAAGGATGAGTTCATGTCCTTCGTAGGGACATGGATGAAACTGGAAACCATCATTCTCAGCAAACTATCGCAAGGACAAAAAACCAAACACCGCATGTTCTCACTCATAGGTGGGAATTAAACAATGAGAACACATGGACACAGGAAGGGGAACATCACACTCTGGGGCCTGTTGTGGGGTGGGGGGAGGGGGGAGGGATAGCATTAGGAGATATACCTAATGTTAAATAACGAGTTACTGGGTGCAGCACACCAACATGGCACATGTATACATATGTAACTAACCTGCACGTTATGCACATGTACCCTAAAACTTAAAGTATAATAAAAAAAAAGAAAAAAAGAAAAATGTGCCCCAGGTAGCCAGTGGAGTCCTGCTATCACAAACCTAAAAGCAAATGAAGCCTTTGTATCCAGAAAAAGTCACCCTTTTCTCAGTGAGACAGCCCCTCCCCACATCATCAGCAGAGTGCACCCACTCATTTCTTCAGCTGGTGTCTTTGTGCAGTACACACACTGGATCACTCTGCATGAATGTACTGAGCCTAGAAGTCCTTAAATCACCCTGACTACGAGAGATGATATGTTCTGTTGCCAGAGGAACAGTTGCATCTTTAGATGAAGTGGAGCAGAAAGTCATGCAGATAATTGCACTTTATTTGAGCAGGGTCAATGAGGAGCGTCTCTCTGCATACAGCAAAAATGGGGGCTTTGTGAGAATAGATACTGTTTCCATTTATTTCTATCTTTGTTAACTATATAGCACTATATACTAATGCCAATAAATATAAAATCAATATAAATGGTATTTAATAATACTCTGAAATTGAATATCATGAATTTCTGACACTAAAGAAATGTTTCAAGGAACAACTTTGTTCTTGCGGCATAAAAACTTAAATACTACTTGTTATATTTACAAAAACATTTTAAATCCATCAACAAGAACAATTAATATCAGTTTTGTGTGTGAAATAAGTTAAAAAATTAAAGCAGAGAAATCATGTTGTTTTACCTACTAAAATAAAATTTAAAAAATATTAAATAGTAATCGCAAGGTTTAATTGCTGCTAAATTAAGTGTCAATTAAAAGATTATATGCATCATAAATTTCTCTTCTTGCATATTTCTCCATGCACAGTTTTAAAGAATAAATACATTGTTTTTTCTCTTTGTATTTTATTCTCATTAAGTACAATCATTGTTATAAATGACAATAATAGGAACATCATTTTGGGAGGAAGAGAGATTTGTCTGGTATTTACACATCATTACATTCAGGGAAGCATTTTTTGACAAGAATGCAAGAGAAGTGATACTGTGTATTTAGTGCATCATAGAAGTTGACAGAGAATGTGATTTGTGCCATTACTAATGTTAACTTTGATCACTTAAGGTGAGAATTTGTAAACTTTTCAATTTTTATCAAAATTTCACTCACTAGTTACATCATTATTGGAGCTCAGAAAACGATACACCAAAACAAAGGCTTCATAATAAAAGATTTTCTCTGACCTTCTCCTGCCCTCCTGTCTCTGTTCATTCATTCTCCCCCAAGGCTAGCCAGAATCCCTCTTTTCCAAGGTGGGTCATAATAAACAGAACCCCGTTTCCCCAAAGCCAGTCACAAAACCTAAAAATATTCCTCTAACTCCCCACCCTTTAACTTTTTGTGTAAAAATTGTCCATCAAGAAAATATTTGACCTACATTGTTTAACTACAGATCATAAGATCCCCATTCTGGAGAGGGTCCTGCCCCACACCCATAAGGAAGGACTGTTGCACAGAGAGGTAAAAATCTAGACAGACAGCCTTTGTTGTGTTTCCCCACTCAGTGTATTGGCATTATATCGTACCCCTTTCTGTCCAGTCATATTCTACACAGCTGTTCATACTTTGTTGAATCTAAGCATAAAAATGGACAAACTTCCCCTGTATCTTTGGGCTTTTATCCTGAAGGCTTCCATATCACGTAAAACTATGATAAAATAAAACTGTATGCCTTTTCTTTCCTGTTAATCTCCCTTTGTCTGTGATTTTCAGCAAACCTTCAAGAGGGCGAAGAAGTTTTTCTCCTGTACCTACGTCATCTATTGATAACTATTTCCTTTAACATATATCTTGTGCATGTATTTTTTCACATACTTGGAGCTGTATCTTGAGGGTAAATTCCTAGAAATTAAATTGCTGAATGAAAGGTAAATTCATATACAGTTTTATTAGGTATTGCCAAATCTCTCACTACAAGGGTTGTTGCAGTTTACTTTCACATCATCAATGTGTGAACAGTTTTGGTTTTCCCATAGACTTGCAAGCAGAACGTGTTATCATACTTTAAAGTTTTCAGCAAACTGCTAGGTGAATAAACGTATCTCAGTACAGTTTTAACTTGCATTTTTAAAAATTAAGAATGAAGTCAAACATCTTTGAATGTGTGAAACGTCAATTTTCTCTCAGTCTCTCAGTCTCTGTATCTATCTATCTATCTATCTATCTATCTATCTATCATCTATCTATCTGTCATCTATCTATCTATCTATCTATCTATCTATCTATCTATCTATCTCTCCATGTGTGTTGTGAATGTCCTTTCTAGTCTTTCATTCATTATTGTGTTGGAGGGTTTTTGTTTATTTGCTTGTCTTGCTTTGAACCCTATCAATTTTTTAGAGATCTTTATAGTGATATTAGCACTCCATCTGCGACATATCTGGAAATATTTTCTATCAGTTTGACGTTTGTCTTTTCATTTAACTTATTGCTTTGCTACATAAAATGTTGTATGTATCAATATTTTCTTCTGTTGCATGTGCAGTATCACCACAGACAGAGAGCATTTCCTTCCACCAAGGTTAAGAGGAATTTAGATAATTTTTTCAAAAACATTAGAATGCTGATTTATGTGCAGCTTATTCTTTTCTTCTGATGTGAGATTTGTGTCAAATTATATCTTTTATCAAATGATAAACCAGTTGTTTCAGCATCAGTTATTAGTGTTAGAAGAGTGATTTGTCATTTTTATCATATATTAAACCTCCATTTATTTTTGTATTTATCTGTATATTTTCTATTTCATTCATTTTGTCTATCCATGCTCCTCTATGGCATTATTTTAATTATAAAACTTTATACTATCTTTTAATATCCAGCAAGACGAATTCTCCCTTGTAGCTTTTTTTCTTTGCTTTCCTAGCTATTTTAGCATGTTTTTTTCTTGTGAGCCCCTTTATTCATTCTGATCCATCGAATGTTTTATGCTTATCAGAGTATAGGCACACTCCTCCCTAAATTTTGACGTGTGCTTTATTAACTAGAGTTTGATTTCTGTTTCAGTATTTTTATGTAAAATTTATATACCATGAAATGCACATAGCTTAAATGTGTATTTCCTAAGTTTTGATAAATGCTTACACTTGTGTAACCTAAACTCCTATTAAAATGTGAAGATTTATCATAGCTACATTTCTTCACAAGAAATTTTCTGTCCTATGAATCAACGACTTATTTGCTTTTTATCACCACATAATTATTTTGCCATGATATCATAAGGTATATACTCTTTTATAAAGGGCTTTTATAATTTTCTCTATTTCTATCTGTCTACACACATACGCTATACAAATAAATAAATAAATAATGTAAACTTCTTTTTTTCCTAAAATTCTGAAGAATGACCTTATTACTAAGCATTTTCTGAAGTGCAATGAATAACTGAAGTCAAAGTAATCTCCATATGTCAACTCCTCCCTTCCCATCATGAACACCTCATAAATGCCCTGAGCTTCAGTTGTAATTGCTAAATGTAATATAAAATATCATGCCTTACTGACTGCAATCAATATCAAAATGTTAAATATAGCTATCTTTAATTTCAATGTAATGTTAGTTAAGAGCAGCTATTACCACTGAAGAATGAAAATCCCAGGTGACAAATACTTTTACCTGAGATAAGATAATTTCCAAATGATTTATTAAAAGTGAAATACTAAATTTATTCGAGACCAGTCTGACCAACAGGGAGAAACCCTGTCTCTACTAAAAATAGAAAATTAGCCAGACATGGTGGCACATATCTGTAATCCCTGCTACTCAGGAGGCTGAGGCAGGAGAATCGCTTGAACCCAGGAGGCGGAGGTTGCAGTGAGCTGAGATCCTGCCATTGCACTCTAGCCTGGGCAGCAAGAGCAAAACTCTGTCTCAAAAAAAAAAAAAAAAAAAAGAAAAAGAAAAAAGAAAATAAATAATAAATTTCAACAAAGTGGATCAGCTTTCCATCTACAATAACATAGTGAAAAGTAATAGTGAACTTAATCACTCCCAAATAGATACAGTATCTATCCAGAAGCCCTTATATGTTACTGCTATCTCTTACATTTAGCTGTATGAAACATGGTGTGTGTTTATTTAATTGTATTATTAAATAATTTCACATCTGTATTCTATGAAAAGGGCTGAAAAATAAATTGAATATCAAAATAATAGGTTTCTCCTTTAAAATCATATTGAAGATTTAAGACCACTTGATTACATACCTAAAGGTGGACCCTTTTATAGTTTTATATGCTAAAGAAATCCCAGATTCTATCTTCAAATAATTTAACCAAGAGCTATAATTTTTGGTTTAATAAATAGAAGTTACATGTTTAAATCAAGTATTCCTGTCTTGCTACACGTGAACTCTGAACTAGAGCTGGCATTTTTTTCTTAATTTATTCTACTTCATTATTTATTTAAACAGCATAGCTTATATTGTCCTTAAATCCTTTTGAAATAAAGCAGAATTAAAAAAGAAAAAGTTTGTCTCTCTTTTGTTGACACCAATCACAGGTACCACTTCAATGATGCTTCTCTTTCGAATCCAACTTACTCCATGAACTCATGCATAAATCCTCAACCCGTCCCTGATTGAGGAGGTAACATATGGGGAAAGTGCATCACAAACAGGGAAAATAATGTGACAAAAGTATTATAAATAGCTAGAGGCTGTGCTTTGACCAGAATTCAAGTCTCTGAATTCTCCAATCACTGACCTTGCCTCTTCAGGGTGTCTAGGAGCTACTGTAGGGGAAATGTACCCATAAAATGCAAAGGTTCTACACAGTTCACCTTTTATGAAACAAATAACAGATTAAAAACAAAAGGAATAGGCCAGGTCAAAATTCATTCTGTGTTTTATCAACAATAATTTTAGGGATTAAAATAATATAAGGTACTTTGTTTTATTTTCTGTTAAGGTCTATTCAGTTTTCTTATAAAAGCCTCTTTATCTTTCATGATATTGGCTGATCAGAATATAGTTTCAATGAAAATAAAATAGTACTCATGAGGAAAAGTAGGGAAACATTTCAAAGATCTGCCTCATTGGCTAATAATTTGTATTATTAATTGTGGAAGATATTATAACTTTCTTTTAGGAATTTAAATTTTATCTAGATTATTTGATTTCAGTAAGACTTCTTACATAGGATCTGTAGACAAAATACCCAATGCTTTCTTTCCTAAGGAGAGTGGATCAACCTGTAAATTGTGCAAAAAGAGCAGGCAGAAATGGAACAATGGTATGTAAAGAATAAATGGTGAGAAAAAAATATTTTTTAAAAGGTGCATTTTCTGAAATGCTAGAAAAATGCACCCACCCATAGCATTTTAAGTTTTTCCTAATATAACAAATAGAGCTGGAATTCAAGCAACTATAAAAGAAATGAAAACTATTTTGGAGAAATGTTGGGGTGGTTCCACCATTTCTCTTTGAGAATTACAGTGGTGTGGTGTCTTGGGAAAAAGGAAAGCCTACTCTGTGCCCCATTTCAAACATTAATGAACGGTAAAACAAATGAATTTTCATAATAAGATAAACAAGTAATGTTTTCATTGAGGAAAAGAACAAACTTCATTTGAATGTCAATTGCTGTGCTCTAAAAGAGAATTTCCATGTCAGAAGGAAGATTTCAAGAGTAATGAATAGGGTTAGTATCTGAACTCTAACTCCTTTTTCCATATCCTGCAGAAAGGAACAAGTTGTCTTTGGAATCTGTTACTAGAAGCCTCAAATAGAATTGCCTTTCATTCTCTAAGGAGAACCTACTGCACTTGTGATTGTCAAATTATTACAAATTCAAGATCACTGCTGTCTTAGATCTCAAATGTTACATTAGTCTATAATTACAGATTCTAATTTTAGGGAACAAAATCAACCTCAAGCCAACAGTCAAAAGAAATATCTACCTGCAAAACAAAACAATGTAATTAGTTGAATTACTAAGTCAAGGAGTTATTCAAATAAGAATTCTAATAATAATAGATGCTGGCTTTGAACACAGTGGTGAGGATCATTCACTTTAAAAATTATTATTGTCTAATACAATATACATGATATAACAATGAAAAATAAACATTACTATTTCTATTAATAATTATTCGTATGATAAGGAAAGCAGGCTCTCATTTTTGCATTTTTCTGTTTGCATCAACAAGTACTGTAACAGCCTGTATTCAAGAAAGCTAAGTTAATTGACTGACAATACTAATTTGTGCATTTTATTACTAGAATATTCTGGCAGGTGGAAAGAATTGGTTAATATATTGGTAAGTGGTAAAAACCTATTAGAAGCTTTTGGAGTCCAGAGAAAATGATTCCTTTATCTTTCTAAGCCCCAGTGCACTATGTGCTTAAAATGTGAGTAAACAAATTAATATAATTTAATTTGGTCTGTCTATAAAATGCCATTATTTCTTTGCGCTCATCTAAAACAAAAAGGTGACAGTCTGGAGAATTAGGACAAGTATTTGGGCCAGAAACTAAAGCACAAGTGTCTTATTTAAACTTTACAAACTTCTGCAATCTTTCATTAATTAAATGTTATAAACAATGGGCCTTCTTAGCATAATGTCTTTAAAAACTAGGATTTAATAAGTATCACCTACTCCCTTGATTGTTATAAGATGATTCACTGTTGACTACTTTTATGACAACTTGCTTTATTACTGGCATTGCAAAATAATAAACCCATGATAAAAAAAATTTGTACAAGATCAAGATTTTAACAGCTTCTATCCCAAGTTCATAATATAAATATGTAAGTTAAAATAACTTTTCTTTTCTTCAGAAATATGTGTGTATGCATATGTGCACATGTATTTTTAAGATTTGAAGTGAAAATGAACAGAAAGTCAGGAAATTAATTTAAGAGCTTAAGACCTAGTAGAACATGACTTTAGAATTGCTGAGAATGAATATACTGAAAAGCAGGCGATTAGTTCTTTGGTATGTCATCAGAATAACTAATTTCTCTTCAGTCTTTTGAATTCCAAGATTTTTACTAATCTTAACATCTATTTACAGGTTCTTTCTCTACTTTCTAATCTCTACAAATGACTTTAAGCTTTTCTTTTACTACACATCCAAATATTTCATTTATGGCTCATGGATAAAATTTGTACTTGGAATATATGGGAACATTTACTCATGAGGGAAATTGCGTCAACATGATTCTAGTACTCATTGAAGTGGACAGAGGTAGATGTCCATAAAGCCAAGGAATCTCAATCATTAGGGCCCATTGCTTGCATAGCCCATTTGGTACCCTGTATCTAATTTTATATTCAGAGTTTTTATTAGTCTTCTTAAAGAATATCCCCAATTAGTTTAAGTATGAGGCACAACACACCTGGATCTGCCCTGGAAGTTATATATGATATATATGATATGTGTCCTTATTCTTCATTTACCGGAAATTAGGTTGCTCCCTGCTGAGGGTCTCCCTGTTTCTGTGCATCAGGCATCTGAGGTCATATATGTCCATAGACTGAAGGCTTCAGCCCTTAAAGCTTCTGCAAATCATAATGTCTGCTAGGAATGATCACTTCCCAGGTGGAGACTGGCATTCTTCATCAGGGAATAGGACCTAACCATGGCACATTAAGGGCTAGATATCACAAAGATATTCTGGTACTTTAATAGTTCCATTCCCAAAAAGTACCCCTGGCCCATGCCTTCTGAAGACTGCTCAACTGGAGCAGGATTGGGTTGGTAAGTTATTACTTCATCATAAACAAAGAGCTGAAGTGGTGAATTTGTAAGACACCTTTGAAATTAAAAACAGAACTTGAGGCATGCCAGTGATGCACAATATACTATTAATGTGTTTTCCAGATAGTATGAATATTGCTTGAAAATAATATGGGTAGAAAGATTTACATGTACATTTAGGATTGAAGAATGGTAAGATTGTGAAAATGGAGAAAGGTAAGGAGATTAAAAGGCAGGCTTGGCACCAGATTTGCCTGAATTCAAATCTTGACTCTAATTTACTTGGGGTAGAAGATTGGTAAAGTGACTTATTCATCTTTTGACTAATTTCCTTACCTTTAAAATGTAATCACTAATAACACCTACCTCATAAGAATGTAGGGGAGATCAAATGAATGAATACATGTAAAGCACTTGTCACAGTGCCTGCATTGTAGTCAGTACTCAATAAATGTTAGCTAATATTATTAAAATAGTTCTTATTTATCATCATTATTAAAATAGGCTAGGAAGCATATAAAAATTAAGAAAACATTTAAGAGATATTAGATTCTTGGTGATTAATTTTGAACTCTGGTGAAAGATACAGAGGAGTTGAGATTACTCCAGATTTTCAATTATAATTAATAGAGATAAGAGATACCCAATGAGGAACCGATATGGGAGAGTCAAAAGAGAGCACTTAGGCATAACTGTAGGGCACACTCTGACTTGGTTAGATGCAAGACAATATGTCATACAAAAGATAAAATGTTTGACTTTGAAGCTCTGGAATTAGTCAAATGTTTAGACAGATAATGGAAAATCAACAGACAATTGTTCACAAAATTAGGCATAATAGATAAGAAATGTGTATCTAAAATGAATACTAATGTTTAAGGTATGAAAGGCAAAAGAGGAACTTATGGAGGAGCTTGAAACGTAATGCTGAGAAAATATGGCTAAGATTCAAGATAAAGTGATTTGATGGAGGCTTAGTCAGAAGTACACAGTAAGAGAAAGACTGAAAGGCCTGCTGGATTTCCCAACATGGAGGCCCTCTGTGACACTTGGGAGAGGAGCACCAATAATGATTTTGGAAAACAAGTACCAGATTACAGTGGGTAGAGTAATAAATTGGAAATGAGTGAATAAAGACAATCACTCTTTGAAAGACAATGGCTCTTAAGAAAAGGTGAGGAATAGTACAACATCTGGAGGAGGATTGGAGGTGAAGGGAGGGCATATTTCTTGTATGTAGGTTTGTTTGCCTCTTTAGATGGCTGAAACAATGGGAGAATGTTCACAGGCCAAGAGTCAGGAGAGAAGGAGGGTTTGGAGACTGAGGAAATGTAGTTACTGTCACATCTCTGTCAAAGGCTGATTCTAGGATATATAGGGAATCACCTGTTCAAAGCCTTTGAGGAAACAGTAAATGTAACACTGATTGAATGTTAATGCTCAGGCTCACTGCTGAGAAACTGATGAAAGTCAGACCATTCTCTGGGTTCACTTAACTACATATTTGCCCTTTTATTGACTAGCTGTTTTGTCAAATTGATATTATTATTTCCTGGAATCTGATATCAATCCAAAGCTAATGTGATATATTGGTCTCCTGGAAACTGAAATGTCCTCATGATCTCACAAGTATAGGCTTGTTGGATATCTTGCAGAAGATAATCCTGATCTTTTCCTGTCATTTAAGCCTCCTAGACCCTTACTGCTTACCTAGATCTCATTCCGGACAACTGCGTAGATTGCTAAACTAAGTCCAGAGGTGATTAAGTGCATATAAATTCTGTTCACACACACTCTTTTGAAAATACATCTTAAAATATGTTTTGTGAGGACAGCATATTTTTCATTTTACTTCCCACTTTATATACTTCCATGCAGTTTTAATTTATTTTCTTTTTATAACTATAAGCATGCATTACTCATGAAAAAAGAAAATTATTTTAATCTTAACATTGCATAATTCTCATGTCACTGGAATGCTAATTCCTCAGTGAAGATTTTTTCCTTTTTTGATAAATATTTCCAAAGCTTTGTATACATAAGGGGATCAACAACGTCAGCATGGTCTATAAAACTCATGAGGCTAACAAGTGCCAGAAGATGTATATAACATCATTTGATGTCATTCAAAACAAAAAGTATGTAAATTAGAATAGAACATATGATACATAAAGTTAAAACATAAACTTAAAAAAATGTTGTTGATAACCTTTCTTTCCACTAATTTACACAATTTTATTTTCCCTTCAAACACATTAGGCAGGTTTCTAAATGAATGGCCAGATGTAGTCCCCTCCAGAAATAGTACTTTGCTCATTCATATGTTTCAAAATAAGAAGTTAAATGTGAATTATATACAAAATAATGAGAATTTCATTGCTGGAATCTGGAGTTTACATTTTATTTGTTATTTGTCATGTTCTTCAGGAATCCCATTCATAAGAGGTAAGGCAAATGATAGGGTATATTTTTTAAATCCCCAATAATAGAGAATATAAAAGTCTTTTTGTAAGAAGCAACTTGAGTAGTTTAATAAAAAGAGAAATGAGGCTAGTGAGGTGGCTCAGCCTGTTATCTTAGTGCTTTTGGAAGCTGCGGCGGAAGGATTACTTGAAGTCAAAGGTTTGAGACAAGCCTGGGCAACACAGCAAGACCCCATCTCTAAAAAAATAAAAAAAAAAAAATAGCTTGATGTGGTGGTCCATGCCTCCAGTCCTAGTTACCTGGGAGGCTGTGCCCAGGATTTTGAGGCAATGAGCTATAATCATGCCACTGCACTTGTGCCTGGGTAACAGAGAAAGACCCTGTCTCAAAAAAAAAAAAAAAAAAAAAAAAAGAGAGAGAGAAATGAAAGTAAATGAAGTGTTTGCCTTTTAAAATAATTTTAAAGTAGGGAAAATGAATCATTTTAATATTTTTTCTTAATTATTATATGCAGACAGATGGGCATGAATATAAATCTATGTAAAGTGGTTCATTTGAAAGTTCTAACTTGTCTTAAATTAAGAACAAAGAAAAGTAAACTTATAATATTTTAGACCATCTTGATTTAATCTCATTTTAATAAAAAGATGGGCAATATCTGAAGCATTTTTCGAGTGCAAGCCATGTACATTTCACATTCATAATTTGTTATAATCAATAAAAAATTAACAAGAAATTTGCTTCGTATTGAGAAAATGGGATCTATAAAACAACTACATCTTCACCAACGTCTTAAATTTTGTTAAATAAAAATACTCACAACCAATCAAGTTTTTGTAGAGAATGATGTATATAGAAACATGTAAGGAAAATGGCTTTCTAGTGTTTCATTAAGCACTATAAATAGGCTTTTAGTTTGTAAGGACAAAGACCCTTCAGTCACACTCTCAGCTGTCAATGTTCATGATAATACACTCTGAATCTAATCTTAAATGTCAAATCTTCCTGGGGAGTTTTCAAACCTAAATAAAGCATTAATATTTTAGACATTACTACACATAAGATGTGTTGTACAGGAAGCTCAAAAGGATATGTGTGTATATATCAAAAATAAAATATGTAAGAAAGATGCCTACATTCACTGTAATGTAAGTTAACAAATGGTAAAGAAAATATCAAATGTAAAATAATTATTATTTAATTTGTTTTATATTTCTAAAATATAATCTTTTTTCATATAAATATTTTAAAATTTATTCTAACTACAAAATGTATAAGAGTTCGTTTTCCCTAAAACTTGAGACTCTGATGCCTAAGGTTAAATGAGCAAGGCTTCTGAAGCACAGCAAAATATTCTAACCTGCTCCCATTGAAAAGGCACTGTAAATTTATTATTTTAGCCTTTTAAAGATTGTTATTCATTTGCTCCTCCAAGCATTCATTAAGTAAACATTTATTAATAGACCAAATGATCTGGTAAGAGCTGGAGATTCAGAAAAAAAATTCTTCTCTTTATGGAAGTTTAAATGAAAGAAAGAGAAATAAATCCTATGGGGTCTCATAAAGGAATGTACCAAGAGCTACCGGATACGAAGAAGGGTTTTAAACATAAAACCTGATGAGTAAAGGAGAGCAAATAGTTACTACCTATTGGCTGGAAAAGAAAGACATTTCAGGCAGAGCAAATTAAATATAAGAATACTTAGAAGAATGAGTGGACAAATGTGGTGGAGGGAGAGTGCCAAGAGACAAAGTTGGAAAGGTAGGTCAAAGGTTAGATCATGAAGGTATCTGTCAGGTCACAGTGAGGCACTGTGTTTATCCCAAGGGCTCTATTATGCAAATAAAGCAAGAGGGGTTTGATAACCAGGTTTCTATGTTAGAAATATTTGTCTGGTGGCAGTAAAAACTAGATTGGAAGGTCAACATATAGAAGTGGTATATTAAAAATTTTGGCTACATATGACAGAGATTCAGTTCAAATTAGTTCAGGCATAAAAGGGGAAATTATTGGCGCATATAACTTCCAAAGTCAAGGGAGAGTGAGAGCTCTGTACACAGCTGGATCCATGTGTGCAAACAATGCTGTCAAGTGCCTGTCTTCTCATCTAGGTTTGATTTTCTTCTATGTTGACTTTTCTCTTCAAATATGGTTGCAGAATTAACCACCAGAAACTTTTGGCTTACATATACTACACAGCTCAGCAATACCTCTGAAAAATATTGTTTTCCCCAACAGCCAAAATCAAAGTTTGAGTGAGTGCTGTCATAGATCATCTTATTCATGTCATCTGTGAATCCAGCATTGTGCTAGGGAAACAGACTGCTCTTAAGGGTACAGCCAGCACAAGTCCACTCCAATTACACACACTGATAATAGGTGTATTAGTCTGTTCTCACACTGCTATAAATAACTGCCTGAGACCGAGTAATTTATAAAGGCAAGAGGTTTAATTTACTCAGTTCCACAGGGCTGAGGAGGTCTTGGGAAACTTACAATTATGGCAGAAGGAGAAGCAAACATGTCCTTCTTCACACATGGCGGCAGGAAGAAGAAGTGCTGAGTGAAGGGGGAAGAGCCTTATAAAACCATCAGATCTCATGAGAACTCACTCACTATCATGAGAACATCAGGGGAAAAACCACCTCCATGATTCAATTATCTCCACCTGATCCCACCCTTAACACGTGGGGATTATTACAATCAAGGTGAGATTTGGATGGCGACCCAGAGCCAAACCATATCAATAGGGAAAGGCTGGTTCCCCTAATTATGAACTGGAATGATGTTGTTTAAATAAGAAGGGAATGAGAATGAGAGGCAAATACAACAATAGTACAACAAGCAAAGGTGGATCACTAGGTAGAATGTTTTAATATAACATGTAATAAATGAGGGTGGAAACCAAGGAGATGGAAAATCCATTTGGATTCAATACAAGCTTAGAACAAAGAGGAAGACTGGACAGCATTTGATGAAGGATTGGTTATTGGTTGTCAGAAAGAGGAAAGGATTGACTATTGGTGCCTCGTGTTAGTGAGCAGACAATGGTAGAGTTAGTCACTGAGAAAGGATCTTACAGTGGATTCACAAGTGAAATTTATCAATTATCATCAATTATGATAATTTATCAATAATTCATTACATCATTGGTGAGTTTTATAATGACGTTAGTGGAATATTCTAGTAGGCAGGTGGACCTCAGAAAGAGATCTGGAAAAGTTGATGTCAAAATTGTTTAAATGAGAATACAATGAAAAGTTTGTGTAGTTAAGAAGAAAAATACTGAGGAGCAGAACAGATGAAGAGAAGTACGTGAGAATGACTATTACTCTAACTCTTATCAGATAATTATGAATAAATTCTAACATGAGAATTGATTTTAGGTAAATACAAAATTAACAATAATGAATAAATATTTATTCGTCTCATCAATCCTGTTATTGAAGCATTATCTATCTTGTTATAAAAACATGATTTCCCACTCCCTTCTTTCAGAAAAATGGCTTCCAAGCTTTAGTTTCAGCCACCATCTCCTCTTGTGATATACACATCCAAAATCATATTGTCTGCCTGTGTCTATTCCGTTTTTTTTTTTTCACTCTCTAAGCAGGATTCTCTTCTGTCTCTCTTACTCATTCTTCATACCCATCTAGTCCTTTTTATTTTCTAATCTGCTATCTTCCAGATATCTGTTATATTAACTTGGAACTGACTTCATAAATATGGTTTATAAATTCATATGTACAATCTGCTTTCCATTAGTCTGTCTGCAACATTTACTTTCAAATTCAAAGTCATTTGACCACCTTAACTTCAATATAAAGAAAACTGGGCTGGGCAGAGTGGCTCATACTTGTAATCCCAGCAATTTGGGAGGCTGGGGCAAGCATACTGCTTGAGCCCAGGAGTTCAAGACCAGCCTGGGCAACATGGCAAAACCCCATATCTACAAAAGATACAAAAATTAGCGGGGTGTTGTGGCATGCACCAGTAGTCCAGCCACTGAGGCTGAGGTTGGGGGTGGAGGTTGCAGTGAGCTGAGCTTGTGCCACTACACTCCAGCCTGGGTGACAGAGCCAGAACCTTCTCAAAAACAAATGGACAAATGAACAAAAACCTGACTTCCTTTTTTCCTAAGTTCATACTTCATCTTTAAGGCAAATATAGCCACTCTTCCTTTTTAAGTCAAATTCTAAAAGTGATCTTCAAACACTAACTCAGTCCTTTGATTTCCACATCCCAAATGAATGTTACATTTTCTGTATATTTTAAGGCCAGATAACACTTTGAGATCGATCCTATTCTATTTCTACCATTGAGATTAATAAAATGTGTGTATCAAAGTGAAAAAAAATGCACAAGTCTGAAAAAAAAAAACATTGTATTAAGGGATTATATTACCTTCACTGGCAACCTCCTTTTATTCCACCAGATTATTTCTCTAGGCATTTAAACTTGCTTTAGTATCCATTGCCTTAGAAGGAGAAGAAGGATGGGGGGAAGAAGGAGGGGAACAGGGAGAGGAAGGAGAAAGGAAAGTGGGAGGAGAAGAGAAGGTGAGGAAAAGGGATAGGAGGAGGAGAAAGAAAAGGAGAAAAAGAATAGGAAGAAAAAGAAGCAAGAGGAAGAGAGAGAAAGGTAAGAAGAATGTACATTTAAATTGCCTGGGCTGGGCACAGTGGCTCACGCTTGTAATCCCAGCACTTTGGGAGGCTGAGGCGGGTGGATCATCTGAGGTCAGGAGTTCGAGACCAGCCTGACAAATACGGTGAAACCTTGTCTCTACTAAAAATACAAAAGTTAGCCGGGCGTGGTGGCGAGCACCTGTAATCTCAGCTACTCGGGGGCTGAGGTAGGAGAATCGCTTTAACCCAGGAGGCAGAGGTTGAAGTGAGCCGAGATTTCGCCATTGGACTCCAGCCTGGGCGATAGAGCAAGACTCCGTCTCAAAAAAAAAAATGCCTGATTGAATTTCTTCAAAACGCTACCCCCTACCCCCTGCACCCCTGCCACAAAACATTTTGTACACATTCAGAACAAAGATTCTTGAAAAGTTGCCTACACTTCCTGTCTCCACTTCTTCTCATTCTCTTTCCAACACAATTCAATCTGGCTTCTCAACTTAATATGCTAGTAAAGTTTCTTTGGAGAGTGTATCACCAAAGATGCAATTTTCCAAACTCAATGGACAATATTTTTAGTTTTTTCTTTGGTACATATCTCACAGATTACCACTCCTTTCTCACAGCCTTCTTGACCTACCCTTTCTCTGTGGGAAATGACCTACCCTCATTTCTTCTTAGTTTACTTTTTTGTTTTGT
Source organism: Homo sapiens (assembly GCF_000001405.40). Lineage (NCBI taxonomy): Eukaryota > Metazoa > Chordata > Mammalia > Primates > Hominidae > Homo > Homo sapiens. The sequence goes on along the minus strand of NC_000002.12, from coordinate 154,211,889 downwards.
CTTTCTTGACCCATGCTTTAAACCTCTTCAAGGCTAATATTGAATTTCTGTTTTCCACTTTCATACTCACTTCTTGGGATATCTTATCTAGGACCATAACTTTAAATGCCATTTACAGTCATGCACTGCATAACGATGTTTCCATCAAGGACAAACTGTATATAGGATAGTGGTCTCATATGATTTTAATGCTGCATTTTTACTGTACCTTTTTCTTTCTTTTCTTTTCTTTTCTTTTTTTTTTTTTTTTTTTTTTTTTTGGAGATGGAGTTTCGCTCTTGTTGCCCAGGCTGGAGTGCAATGGTGCAATCTTGGCTCACTGCAAAATCTGCCTCCCGGGTTCAATCGATTATCCTGACTCAGCCTCCCAAGTAGCTGGAATTACAGGCATGCATCACCATGCCTGGCTAATTTTTTGTATTTTTAGTAGAGACAGGGTTTTTCCATGTTGGTCAGGCTGGTCTGGAACTCCCGACCTCAGGTGATCTGCCCACCTCGGCCTTCCAAAGTGCTGAGATTACAGGTGTGAGCCACTGCGCCAGGCCTACTGTACCTTTTTCTATGTGTAGATATGTTTAGATACACAAATATGACTGCGTTACAATTGCCTACCGTAGTCAGTACAGTAACACACTGTACAGATTTGTAGCCTGGGAGCAATAGGCTATACCATATAGCCTAGATGTGTAATAGGCTATATGGTAAGTACACTCTATGATGTTTGCATGACAAAATAACCTAAGGACACATTTCCCACTGTTAAGCAATGCATGAGTGTAGATGTTGAAAACTCACACATTTCTATATAAAGCCCTAGTTTCTACTCTGAACTATTAGATATATCCACTTGAATGTCTCACAGGCATCTCAAAGTTAACATATCCAAAATTGAACTACCAATCCTGCCTCTCTTCGTATTTTCAACATCTCTAATAATAATACATACATTCATTAAATTATTTAAGCTAGACACCTAAGAGTCATTTCTAACATTGCGTCCACCTCCCAACTATCAAATCTACTCCCTAAATATATCTTGATTCCATCTTCTTTTATCTATCATCACTATACTTTCTTAGCTAAAACCACCATAATTCTCTTATCAGAACTAGAAAAACAATCTCCTAAATGGTTTATCTGCCACCATATTTGCCAGTTCCATTCCATTTTTCCAAACCCCTTCAAAATGGTATTTTAAAAATTAAATTATGATCATATCAATCTCCAGTGTAAGACCATTAAGTGTCCCACATTATATTTAAATGAAATACAACTCTTAAATAGGACCCTGTAGGTTTTGTGTAATATGGACCATGCCTTTCTGTCAAACCACATTGTCTGACATTCTCCCAGTAATTTATATGAGTAGGTACATTGGCCTTCATTCAGTTCCTTAACTGTGTCAGGATCTTTCTGGCTTCAAGGCATATTTTTCTCATTGGAGGGAATGTACATTAGTACAGCCATTATGAGAAACTGTATAAAGGTTTCTCAAAAGCTACATATAGAACTACCATATAATCCAGCAATCCCACTTCTGGGTATATATCCAAAAGATTCGAAATTAGCATGCTGAAGAGATATCTCTTTCCCTTATTCACTGCATCACTATTCACAACAGTTAATATATGATATCGAACAAAGTGTCCATCAATGGATGAGTGGATAAGGAAAATGTGGTATAAATATACAATGGAATACTATTCAGACCTAAAAAATAAATTAATTCTGTCATTTGTGACAACATGAATCTGGAGGACATTATGCTAGTGAAATTAGCAAGCCACAGAAAGACAAATACCACATGATCTTACTTATGAGTGGAATCTAAAACATTCAAACTCAGAGAGGAGAACAGTGGTTTCCAGAGGCTGAGAGGTGGTGGAAAAGGGGACATGTTAGACAAATGCTACAAAGTTGCAATTAGACAGGAGGGATAGTTTTTGTGAGATCTGTTGCACAGCATGGTGACTATAGTTAAATAAGGTATATTTTAGAATTTCTAGGAGATTAAATTTGAAATGTTCTTATCACAAAACATGACAAGTAATTTAGGTGGTTTATATGTTAATTAGATTGATTTAATTATTCCACATATGTACATATATCAAAGATCACAATTTACCTCACAAAAACATACATGATAATTTGTCAATTAACAATTTAAAAAGGGAACATGAAATAATTCCTCTGAGACAATGTTCAAATAACGTAGTAGGCATGTGGGACAATTCTTAAAAGTCTGGATGTTTTCTAAAACTTTTAATGAAAAAAATGTCTAGCAGAGTTAGAGAGATGAAATAGCATTAGCATTATGTAAATGATAGGTGGAGACATCAAGTGGTAAAGCAGTAAAACATGTTATAGCTTTAGAAGACACAATCATTAGCAGGAGATAGTGAAAACTGAATTCAATTCAGTAAAGTGAATCCTAATTTATAGATTCAGTCAGAAGTTATTAACCTAAGGTCCATCCTTTGGGCCCTATTCCCTGAAATATCATGAAAAAAGTTTGTATTTATTTGCATGCAAGCATTTTGCTTGGAAGAAAAAATCCTTAGCTTTCATTACATTCTCCACTGAGATTTGTGACCTAAAAATAGGTCAACCACGACCACCACCACAAAACCCCACTGTATCCTCAGATTTAATTAAATTTGCTTTTAAGAAGGATTTGGATATTCTCATTTTATCTAGTTGGAAACATCACTTGCTCTCATTTATTGGTACTCTTTCTCTTTTTTCCCTGAACTTTAACAAACACCTTTTTTTTTAAGAAAAATATAATTCTTCCTGTTTTTGTTGTTCTAACCAAAAACACTGAAGATGAGTCTTTGATCTGGAATTAGGGCAGTTTAGAAGGGATGTCTTCAATGTTTATAAAGCCATACAGAAATTGTAAATGGGAAATACAGACCTACTTACTGAATCCTTAAATACCATTATTGTAGGTATCTCTTGCAGCAGGACAGAGACAAAATTAATTGAAATAAAAAGAATTTCTACTTCTTTGTGCTTCAATGAAGGTAATACAGACATGGATCTCATTATAAAAATATTCTACAGGATTAAAATATATATACTTTCAGAGATTGGGTAGCTGAAGTATGATAAGTGATTATAAAAATATGATACTTATGGGCATTTGAGGTAATAAAAGTATATGATCCTTATCTAATGTTAGACCAGCACTGTTCTAGGCATAAAAGTTCAATTAGCTACACACACACACACACACACACACACACACACACACACACACACAGACACGCAAAACGTGATTAAAATAAGACAAGGCAGTGCTTCAGATATCAGATTCCAGGGTCAAACAGATCTCTGTTGAATTTTGTGGTTCTGCCACTGCATGACTCCAGGAAACAACCTGAGCTCCAGATCATTATGACAATTACATAGGAAAAAATAGATTCTCAGTAACTATTACCTAATATTAGATTTCACACACTACATTACATATTAGCAGCAATATGTATGAAGTGATTTTACATTTATTTTTATGTAAAATATATTTATTTGTATACAAATGCAATATGCAGATTAGTTTTCTGACTCTAAGTTCTGCTTTTCTCATAATGACTCAAAAAAACAAGAACTAGGTCTGTTTTATAACAATATATTATGCTTACTGAATATCATTAGTGCCAGACAAAAAGAACAAGTTAATTACTTAAATCATAACCAATTAAGTGATATGATATTTTTCTTGCTCTTTTTACAGCTTTTTCTGGAATGACCTTTTGGTTAATTTTGTTTTTACCAACTACATGATAGATTTCCTCTTTGATCTAACTGGAACTTATGAAAAATTGATAACATCCTTCTTAGTTGCTTAAAAAAATCCCCTAGGTATTTATTATTGAAATAGAAAAGAGCCAAATTAGCAGTGCAGAATTACAGGAAGTAAATCAGGATAATGCTGAAGAGGGTACATTGAAAAGTCCTATTCCAAAGCCACATATGTTGCCTTTGTCCTATGCGACATCATCTAATACTATGCTCTCTGAGGGAACTTGCAATGAATATATGAAAAATGACTCCTCAGGAGACAGTTAGCATGTAAGCTAACTGAATGATAAAGGTTTAGACCAGGGCAGAGGAATCAGTAGTTCCAGTTAGAGACTTCTGGTCTCAAGCTTGCTTTTTGAATTTTTTCCTTCTTAATTCAACTCAGTTCTTCCCTGTCCCTTTTTCCTGGGATCCTAAATATAATTAATCACCTGATCTTTATTTACTATATACACATTACTGAGTGCTTAACAAATTACTATTAATATGGATAATTACAATAATTATGTTAAGTGATATAACATTTAATGACCACTGATTATTTGCCAGGCACATGTATTAACTCACTCCTCCTACAATGTAAGTAATGAGTCATTCTCATTTTTCTGATGAGGAAAACAAGCCACAGAGAATAAGGCAAGATCTCTGCCTTACAGAACAAGCAGTCTTGTTGGGTAATTTATAATAAACAGATTCATAATAAAATTGGGTACGGAAATGATACATAATTCAACAGATTATTAATAGGAGAGCAACAAAAGGAGACAGCAAAGGCAAGTGGAGAAGAGCAGGTTATGGAGATGAGAATGAGGAAGACAAGATTGGTGTTAGAACATGTAGCAGGAGGTAGGGGAGGCATCAAACAAGACACGACATTGGAGGTAGCCAGATTTCAATTACACAGGGATACGTACACCTTAGCTAGGGATTTAGACTTTATCCCTGTATTTAATGGGGTCATAGTTAGTGATTAACAAAGGCTCTCACTTAGGAAAGTGATAGTTTTAAATTATAAATATTTAATCATCTCTGGTAGCAGTGTGGAACATGGATTTAATGCAGACAACAATGGAGAGAAGGATAACAGGAGATTGTTGAAATTATCATGGTAAAAAGTAGTAAAGCTCTAGAACAGGGCATGATATCAGAGATGAGAAAGATGATCAAATTTGATAAATAAATCCTGATTGCTGATTTGCACGGTGAAATGCATGGTGAAACGACCATGTTCTTGACCTTAGACTTATTCCTTAACCTCTCAAATCCCCTTCCTGTTTTTTTTTTTTGTTGTTGTTGTTTTTTGAGACAGAGTCTCCCTCTGTCACCCAGGCTGGAATGCAGTGGGGCAATCTCGGCTCACTGCAAGGTTCAAGCAATTCTCCTGCCTCAGCCTCCTGAGTAGCTGGGATTACAGGCACCCACCACCACACCCGGCTAATGTTTTTGTATTTTTAGTAGAGACAGGGTTTCCCTAAGTTGGTCAGGCTGGTCTCGAACTCCTGCCTTCAGCTGATCCACCTGCTTTGGCCTCCCAAAGTGCTAGGTTTACAGGCGTGAGCCACCGCGCCCGACCCCCGTTCCTCTTGTACCCCTAGATAACTGTGATTCCAAACCTAGAATGTTTACTAGGTAAATATTTGTAAGTAAGCAGATTCTTTTAAAACCACAACTTTCAACTAAAAGAAAAAAAAGTGTATTTGTCTCTTTCTCTCTAGATATATCTCTCTCTCTATATATATATGATTTCAAAAACAAAATTTTTCCTACAAAAATAATAAAAATTAGGGCCGGGCTCAGTTGCTCATGCCTGTAATCCCAGCACTTTGGGAGGCCGAGGCGGGCGGATCACAAGGTCAGGAGGTCGAGACCATCCTGGCTAATATGGTGAAACCCCGTCTCTACTATAAAAAAAATAGAAAAATTAGCCGGGCGTGGTGGCGGGCGCCTGTAATCCCAGCTACTTAGGAGGCTGAGGCGGGAGAATGGAGTGAACCCGGGAGGTGAAGCTTGCAGTGAGCCGAGATCGCACCACTGCACTCCCACCTGGGTGACAGAGCCAGACTCTATCTTAAAATAATAATAATAATAATAATAAAAGGAAAATCATAATTGTTTCAAAACATGTATGTCAGAGCCTGTAAATAAAATACAATGCAAAGTAAAACATTTAAATAAAGCTGAAGTCTAAACAAAGAAAACTAGAGAATTTTTTTTCTGATACTAAAGTTTGGACCTATTCCAAAATTAAAAATAAATTATCTTTTGGAATCCAGAGGGAGGTGACTGAATTATAGGGAGGGTCTTTACTGTGCTGTTCTCATGATAGTGAATGAGTCTCACGAGATCTGATGGTTTTAAAAATGGGAGTTCCCCTGAAAGAGCTCTCTCTTTGCCTGCCAGCATCTGCATAAGATGTGACTTGCTCCTCCTTGCCTTCCTCCATGATTGTGAGGCCTCCCCAGCCATATGGAAATGTAAGTCCAACAAACCTCTTTCTTTTGTAAGTTGTCCAGTCTTGGGTATGTCTTTATCAGCAGCATGAAAATGAACTAATACAGTGTCTATGTGACAATATACCCAAATTATTAACATTTCAATATATAATTCATGTTAAGTTATTGCCTAGCTAATTTACAATCTTTTTTTCTACTAAATGTATATATTTTATACTTACAGCACACTTTGGCTTGGACTAGCAACATTTCAATTGCTCAGTACCCTCGAATAACTAGTGGCTACTAGTTCCACAGTTAGAGAACACAGGTGGAAAACACACAGAAATAAAAAACTTTTTAAGACAAAGATAATGCTTCTTTAGGTAAAAGTATGTGAATACCATTACTTTAGCCACTCTCTTAATAAGTACTTTTATTACAGTACAGTGGATAAATAAGTACAGTTATTTTATCCACTCCCTTAATAAGTAATATAAAGTCTTTACCATGTTTAAAGCCCAGTATCAAGGGAACACTCAGATGAATGGGAAAGGATCCTATTCACCCGATGATTATGAATTAGTAGAAGACATCTTTCATATATTCATCTACCCATCCACCCATCCACCCATTCATCCATCACTCATTCAATTTACACATATGGGACATATGCTGAGCACACTATGTTAGCCATCAGGGCTAACACAGCATATAAATAAATAATTACCATATGCTGTATTAAACACTAAGACAGAGACTTGTGAAAACAGCTAACTCTCAATGAAGAGGGGAGAACTGACACTTGAAGTGAACTTCAAAAGGAATAATATACTAGTACTGGCGAAGGCATGGATCACAACATAACATGATATGTCTGAGACTACTCAAGTTTTATGTGGTTAGATAGTAGAGTACAAAGGGAAGAGGCAGAAAATGAAGCTAAAAATACAGATGGAGAATAAATTATAAAAAGCCTTTAGACATTGCTCAGGACTTTTGACTTTATCTTATGGATTTGGAGAATGGTAAAAGGTCCATCACCTTATTGGTTTAGAAATTTAACTTTGGCAACTCTGTGGAAGATGGAATGTGGTGAGATTCAACTGGGAAAAGGAGAATTGTTAGAATAATTGTGAGTCTTAAAAAATATTAAAGTCCTCTCATAATTCAGGAACTTTTAAATTGGAAAAATGAAAATAAATAATTCAAGTTATCGTGCCTTGAAATGTATTATTTTATTTATTCAGTTAATATTTATTGCATACCTACAGTATATAAGGGACTTCTCTAGATTTAGAAATATAGTAATAAGACAGACACATCTTATATTTTAGAGGGAAAAACTTGGATTAAATCACTATACAATTAAAAAATAAGTTCTATGAAACACTTAAATAGGGTAATATATTGAGAGAGAGAATAGAATGGTAGCACCACAGTTAGGCTGATCAGTGAACGATGGTTGATGTTTGAACTTAGACTTTATTAATGAGGAGGCAGTCCAGGATAAAATGTGTCAGAGAAAGGATGGCAATGGTCCAGAGTGAATGAGTCCCAAAGTCCAAAGAACAGAATTATGGCCTGTGTGTTTGGATCAAAATGGGCTTGTGGGAATGTGAAACCAGAGATATAGTTAAAGAGGTGGGCAGAAGTCAGAGATTGATGGCGTAGTAGGTAAGGTGAAGATTTTGCATCTTATTTAAAGCAATTTGAACCTATTGGAGAATCACTATTGAAGGAGTGACCCCATTCCACTTAGTTTTTATATAGTCTCCTCTTGTTACTGCATAAATAATGGATTGTAGGTAGACAACGGTGCAATGGCAATGGCAGTGATTTGTTACAGGAAAGGAAGAGAAGTGAATTAATTCAGGCTACATTATAGAGCTGGATGAATAGGGCTTTCATGTAGTGGAAATTGAGGGTGTGGTATAAATCAAAGAAAAGAATCAAGAAAGACTCCTGGAATTTTCTCCAAAGCACCAGGTGCAAGGAGTTGTCATTTGCTGATACAGGGAAGACTGGAGGTGGAATGGATGAATTGGGGGTTCCCTGGAAATCAGGAGTTAGGGAGAGCCTCCAGACTTCTTGTCTGAATGACTTTGAAAGGAATTACATGACTAGGAGGAGGTTTTATAGTGAAAAAAATTGTCATTAAAAATCTATCTATGTATCTATCTATCTTTCTATCTATATGGAGAGAGAGAAAATGTGACATGAGACAGTTCATAGGAAAGACAATTCTGTTACAACTGGGGATGCCAATTCTGACAGCTTGACAGTAAGGCTTTCAACACTGATAAATTGAGAGCTTCCTATTGCAGAATATTAATAAGTTATTAATCATCCAGATGTTAAACATGAAAAGAGAATTGGAATTGAATAAGAGGAATACAAAACACTCACATTTATTCTCCCATAATTTTCTGCCAGGGTTGCTCAAGGCGAAAATGGCTAACTGGTTATGAGTGCTCAAAATGAATTTTATTAATTTGTATCTCCCTCCTCCCCATGCCTCACACTGGGTTACAATAAGTTTTACATTCTGGGATACTTCTGCTTGGGGGCCAGTTATAGCCCCCGAAAACACAAGTACAGACTGGAACTTTCAAAAGTATATTTTCGTTAGCAGGTGTATAAAATCTAGATTAACGGCTTCCAGGCCCCATTTCATAAAATGACTGAATCAGATTCACCGAAATTACATATTAAAAATCCTTATTATATTTTCCTAGCCCAGACCTATTGCAGCGAAACATCCAATGTTAGGCTCAGAATTCTGTGTTTTTATTAATTTCCCTGAGATAACTTGATGCACAGTTACCTTGGAATCACCGATGGTAGTCATTTTGGATAATTGTTACATATGCTGAAATGCTGAAGTATATGATTTTAGCCTGTTTGGGATATCAAAAGAGACTGGACCTAAACATAAACAAAGCTTCTTAATATTTTTTAACAGAGTGTCATGGTGGTGAAAGATGGGAGATTAATAAATATATGCTTATAAAATCTTCATAGTGAAGAAAGCTTGGATCTTGGTGTTAGCCATCAGATAACAAGTAAAATCTCCTAAATTTTCTCCAGCCTTCTAATGTATTATTTTCCTATATTGTTTTAAGTTACCCTGGCTCCCTGGCCCATGGCTAAAGAAAGAGGATACTGAGAGTCATAATCATAATCTGTAAAGTGTCCACTTAAGAATATGTGCCTTAAAAAATGCTACCTCCATTCATGTTTCTACTAATCCAAAAGTAGAAGTGTGATCTCAAGGACGCTAAGTGCAGCAGCATTCCCTGAAAAATAGAACTTCATCAGGGAACATACAGTACTTACTATATGTAATTAAAATACATATATCTTTCAAAATCTAGATCAAATATTACCTTACAGGGGTTTTCCTGAATACCCCAATCTAGCCCCTTCCCATGAAAGCAAAAGTTTTTATCTTTTCCACAGTAGACACTCCATTAACATCTTACATATGTCTGCATTATTCTTCTATAATATAGTTATTTTTCTCCCCTGCTAGACAGAGAGCAACCTTGCCTGCAGCCAGGCACAAAGTAGGTGTTTCACAAAAGTATTTTGGATTGAATTAAATCAAAGGGTAAGCAGTATAAATGCCAGAAAGTTATCTTCATCAATGTGTCTTAGTTGTAAAAATGTAATTGTCAAGGGACAAATTGTAAACAGCAATAATAAAATTAGGTGACTCTTGCTGAGTCTTGAAGCATCAAGGAAGAATCAAAGATGGTGCTGTCTGTCAATAATAGTCACTCTAATGGAACAAGGACTTAGGTGAAGGGCAAGCACTGCCAGACACATATCTATCTTTTGGGACATACTTGCTCAATTAGATGCCTGTTCTGTAAGTAAAAAGCAAAGAATTCCCAAACACACATGCTTATGGCAAAAACATTTAGAATTAACTCTTACCATTATCAAAACAAAATGAAGATAAAGGAAGCCTTTGAAAAGAGGAGATAACCAAGGATACTTTTTAAAAAATGTGATCTAAAGAACAACATTTTATGGTCAGTGGTTTTGGTAGCCTCTGTATGTTTAAACTGCAAAATTGTCTAAACCTGTTTGAAACAGTTATCTAAGGGGCCCAATCGCATGACACTTTAAATAAAGTAAGAAGGTGATGCTATGCATGTGTGTCATCGTTACTAATGTCTTCTTGCCATGATTGCTAATAGGTATAAGACAGTATTCAATGCCATGCTTCACAAAACAGGTAAGAGATGCGTTGGTCTCAGAGTTTCTCCCTAAATTGAATTTCTGTCAAGAAAGCAACAGCAACAAATCAAACAAAGCTTCTATGACATGCCAGGATTTCAAAGTGTAACTAGACAGAATTATTCTCTCATGCTGTCATGAATACACATTCATGGAAGACTTTCTATTGTCTTTATTAACTACTAACAGTATAATTTCATCACTCTGCAGTCATTCAGATTACATTATTAATACACATGACAACTCTTTGTAGGCTGACCACAATTTCTTCAGTTGGCTAGCTGAACTTGATAATAGCTCTTACAAACTAATACAAAGCATATTATATATACCACTTGATGTGACTACACACACATATACATATAAAGAGACTTCAAATGTAGGAACTGATAATATTCCAAAAGTATTTTCTTAAAGTTCTTTTAATTGTTGTAAAATAGAATTGCATTTTCTTGGAAAAACAAAATTATATAAGATATACATTTTCTAGGCTAGTTCCCAAAGCCTCTTCAGTTCAAAATAAATCTTAATAGATGAACTGTCTCATCATGTATGTTAGTCAAGTTTTACAGCTTAATCTCTGCCATAGTCAGAATGTGTCCTCTCCAAAATTCAGGTGTTAAAATTTAATGGCCAATGTGATAGTAGCAAGAGGTGAGGTGTGTAAGAGGTGATCAGGTATGAGGGCTCCTCCCTTGTGAATGGGATTAAGGCTCTGATAAAAGAGACTTCACACAATACTTGGCCCTCTTGCCCTTCTACCTTCTGCCATGTGAGGACATAGCATTCCTCTCTTCCAGATAATGCAGCAACAAGCTGCCATCTTGAAAGTGGAGACCAGGACCTTCACAAGACATTGAACCTGACAGCACCTTGATCTTCAACTTCCCAAGTTCCAAAGGTGAGAAATAAATTTCTGTTATTTATAAATTAGTCTATGATATTTTGTTATAGCTTTACAAACAGACTAAGACAATCTTCATGGGAAATGCATTAAAAGTAATGTAGTGGCATTTCTTCTATTCCTCTTGCCATACTCTTACCAGACCACAGTTCATATCTTTGGTGGGATATTCCCCTTAATCACCACCCCATCTCCATAGTTAATGCAGTAATTCTATTGAAATTCTTTTCTTATCTCGAAAGAGATAAGAAAAATTATGCATTACATAAGTTAAATGACAATCACACTTAGAGGACTGACTTGAATATGCAAAGACAAAATATAATTTTATGTTTACTACCCAATATATCTTCATGACTCCTAAAATGAAATCTTACAGGGATAACAATTTGTAGAAACTTTAATGCCTTAATATTTAAGAATTAATCCCCCCATCCCTCACAAAAAATAAATAAATTACTAGTGGAAGTTATTTTACTTATGTTGAAGGTATGATTTCTGAGGAGTCTATATGGAACATGCAACTGTGCATATCTCTGGAATTCTTGCTCGGTAATTATAAAATCAAGGATATAATGCATCTCTGAATAATTTATTATGCTTTCAATCCAAACCTTGATTATTATAAGTCTTAGAAAATTCAAGAAAGAGTTCAGATAAAAGATTACTTACCCTAGGGCCAAAAAATTCTGTATTTAGTATCCAAAAGAGACACATTCCAAAATTAGATTTTTAGAAAATTGCAGATTCCCTGCACTCTAATAGTATTACAATCTCCAGTTTTATGTCCCTAATCAAATTTTATGACATAATTATAAGACTGTTTTTTTACTAATAGATAAATTCTAATACATACATAAGCAATAATTACTCCACTGAGACATATCTTGTTTAGCTTCCACTGTCAAACAACTACAAAACCCTCGTTAACCACCTTGTCTTGGAAGTAAATTGCATGAACATAAAAAATTAACACAACCATTTTTGGTAAGATATTACAAAAGGAAAATTTACTAAACCTCAAGTTTCCTAAGGTTGAGTGTACCCATTTTGTGCTCTGTTTGATTATATACAAAGACTGATACAGTCAAAAATTCTCTTGAACATCAAGATTGAATTATATTTCAAGGAATACTAAACCTAAAACATTTTTTGCAGCATATTTTATTCTACTTCCTAGACTTAAAATGCTTCCCCTTTCTTCTTGCATTCCATTTTTTACAGTAATACTATAATAGGTATACTACTGTCAATAATAAATAATTAAAATTTAGATATAAATCTGAGAGAAACATTCAGAGCAGAACAGAATCAGTTTTCTAAACATACCATGATGATTATTTTTAATCAAAGAATACAAGCATGTTACTTAAAAAAAAACAGAAGAAATTATCATTAAAAGCCACAATTTCCTGATCAAGTTCCCCACCCTGAGTCCAGCTCCTTAGATGCAAGCACTTCGACCTCTTTCTGTTCTTACTTCTCCATTTGAACATATACATATATTTTTGTTGGAAAAGTCAGCATTAACCACTGAAATTCTGCTATGCTAGATTTAGCTTAGTTAGATCCTACTCCTTTTTCTGATATATTTATAATACTAAGGCTATATTACTCTAGTAACTGTATTTGTATATTTTTAGGTAGCACATCTAAACCTCTATTTTGTATTACAACAACCATAGACAGTATATCTTAATTCTCCACTTTGTAAGATAACCTTATTAAGTCCTTGACCCTTCAGTTCCCTCCTACCCATATTCTAATTTGTTACTGGGTCATTTTACTTTTTATTTTTTCAAAAAGTTAATAACATTTATATTCTGTTCTGTAATTTCAGCCAGAAAGGTTATATGCTGCAAGTACCCCTTATAGGGTACTTGCAGGGACTCCAAGTCTTGTTCCCTGTAAGTTAAAGAAGTTACAATCATTTTCAGTGCCTTGTCCACCCAAATTTTCTGTTCCAGGATGGTAGTCACATCCATAAGGGGAAAAAACTTACTTTAACTATTGAAAACACAATCATTATGAATGTACCTAATGCCACTGAATTGTACACATAAAATGACCAAAATAGTAAATTTTATGTTGTATATACTTTACCACAATAAAAAAGTCACCAAGCAAAAACAAAACAAAACAAAACAAAAAACAACAAAGAAAAAGAAAATAAAAGATTTAAAGCATGTGAGGTACAATTAAACCTGCTGGTAACTTATTCTGATGGCATTCCTTCTCTCTCACCCCATCTCACCGTCTCAATAGTTACTCACTGCTCTGAATTAAATGTGTTTTTTCTATGCATTGTATCTACTTTGAATACATATGCATGTACTCCTAAACAACATGTAAAATCATTTTACCTTTTTAATTTCTTAAAAAGGTAATTTCTTAAAAATGTAATTTATCTTACATGTATATATCTGCTGCTGTTTTTTCTTCAATGTTATGTCTGGGAATATCTATTGATTTGCATCCTTGCCAACACTTGCTATTTTTTTCTTTTTTAATTTGTGTGAATCTGATGAATATAAAATGGGGTTTATTACGGTTTTTAGTTGCATTTCTGTGATTTCAATGAAGTTAAGCTTCTTTTCATATATTTGTTGACCATTTGTGTTTCTGTTATCTAGATACTTTTATACTAGATCAATGTCTTTTAAGAATTACTTACTAGACTTTGTATGTTCTGGATTAATCTGTCATCAGTTATATATGCTACACATATCTTCTGCTTATTTATGGCTAGTGTTCTTTTTATTTTTTTTTTAACTGGATGCTGTCCAATGAATAGATGTGCTTAATTTTAAATTAATTTAAAATATCAGTCTTTTACTTCAAAGCTTATGTTCTCTTCTGAGTTCTTTAAAAATTTTTCTTTTTTATCCTGAAATGATAAAACATTCTCCTAAATATATTAATAATAATTTTAGTGTTCTACTTCTTACTTTGAAGTCTTTAATCATCTGGAATTGACTATGTGTATCACGTGAGGTAGATGTACTCATTTATTTTCTTCTAACAGACTCTTTTGGAATAGGGAAAGTCAACTTTATGAGCTCAGTTGATTGAAAAGTCCATCCTTTACCACCTGGAATACAATGCGTGGTCATTGCCCTAGGCTTCTTTGGGCTTCTTTGTTTGGAGAAACATATTATCTACAAATAATGAAAGTTTCTGGTCCCTTATCCACCTTTCTTTTATATATTTTACTGTCATTCATGTTTTTGGCTTAAAGAAAATGTCTTAAGAGACATTTCTTTCTTTCTTTTTTCTTTTTCTTTTGAGATGGAGTTTCACTCTTGTTGCCCAGGCTGGAGTGCAATGACGTGATCTCGGCTCACCGCAACCTCTGCCTGGCACTTTTTAAAAAATCAAATAACTTAAGGATGTTGGGGGAATTTATCCTGAGAAGATATTGAAGATAATTTAAAAATAAATAAAAGTTATAAAGGACATCTTTGAACATCGAAAAGGCTTTCATGTGTACACATAATTTCTATATGGCACTTAGGGAATGAGATAGCAATCAGATGATTCATCTCTTGAGAGTAAGGACACATATAATAATAGTAAAAACCAATCAAGATTAGAACCCATGATGCTTAAGCATAGGATATATGACCACCTAGCAAAGATATTGCCAAAGGGCATTCAACAAAGAGGTCATGAAATGATAATTTTAGTAGAACCCAATTCTTGGAAATATGAATTCAAAGAGCAACCAAAGAGCTTTTGATTGTGAAAGTCCAAATCTATAATTATATTGTGACTATTGAAACATGGTTGAATTTATAATTATCACAAAGTTTATACAACTGAAAACAAACTCACTTAACAGTGACCGGTAGTAGCTTCCTTTTAGAATCACCTACGCTTTCAAATACATATTAATGATCATGTTGATTGAATCAAAGCCTTTAAACAGGAATTAAATTTTGTTACAGCTTGCTTTTTATTTCTATCTTTATGCTGCCTCTGAATCTATGAATAGCTAATTATTTCACTTCTCTGTGTCTTTGGTATGACCAACACCAGTAGATTAATAAAAAATTAAAGAAAACAAATAAAAGAACTTCTATGAACACTTACAATTCAAGCATGAACTCTTCTGTTTCTCTCTTGAAATATAATTTGAACTCTTTATGTTGTATGTAGCCAAAAATCACAGATGATGCAGCCTTAAGCATAAAAAGGAATTAAAAAGCCCAGAGTTCTCTGACTATGGTTTGATCTGAATTCTCACACGTAATTCATGAGAGTTGTTTTTTTTTTTTGAGTATCAGATCATTTCTAAGACTGACTTTTCTCTTTTTATCAGAAATAGCTGCAACAGTTCTAGGCTTTACAATCTTGTATTTCAATGTCCAGAAGTAAAGAGGTAACATTGTGTTCATAGGTCTCAGTGGAAAGAAAAGCTTTTTACCCAAAAGACACCAGCAAATATTTGCAATGTCTCATTGGTTTGAACTGACTCACAGGCCCAGGCCTGATGCAATTAAGTTGAACAAAAGACTGGACTTCACAGTTTCTGTTTCTAGCTTGGGTGGGTCAATATTATCCTAATCATAGATCTATGAATAGGAGCAGTACAGTTCTGCAGAATGGAGTTAGGGTTCTGGTACCATGAGCAGGGGTTGGGGCACCAGAATAGATGCTCCCCAGTGGCAAAATCACTTCACTGCAAGTGCTTGGCTGTGCAGGGTGTTTGGAAAATATCACTATCCAATTGTTTGAAACCTGAGACAGAGTAGTTCATTTAAGCCCCATAGCTAATATTTTTTTTTTCAAAATTTGAAGAGGCTCATTTTTAATTACCACAAAGAAGCTCTGAGCTCCTATATGTGTGGAAGGCCTTGCACTAAACAAAGGATGGACCAAAAATTAAAAAGACCAAAGTGTTGAAAATCTGAAGTATAAGGAGCAAAGACAATCAGAATAATATGATTAAAGTTGAATTTAGGGTGATATATTTCATCTGAACAATGTGAAATGGGTAGCAGCCTTTGAAACTTGTGAGATTTATGGTTTCTTAGGAATTCTCTGTTTCACCCGGTTGAGTCATTTATTGATGTGGATTGTTTAATCATGTCTAAAAGAAAGAGCCCCGAAGGAAAGATGGCTGCATTTCTCCCACGGTACATTTTTAAAAGAAAATGAAAAACTGTTTTTAATAGCACTGTAACTTGAAATGCTAAGAAAAGCAAATTTAATGAAGGTAGAGTAGTGGCCAAAACCTGCAGCAGAAGACAAAAGTCCGGAGAGAGAAAGAAATGCCCAGAGGAAGAATATTTGTGTTTACCCAAAATAGTCATCTTTAAGATGATGTATTTATTCTCAAGTGGGATGGGCTGAAGAGCTGCAGTTGTGGGAGGCAGCAGTACAGAGCAGTGGTTAAGAATACTGCTCTCTTGAGAACACATGGACAGAGGGAGAGGAACATCACACATCAGGACCTGTCAGGGGATGGAAGGCAAGGGGGAGGGAAAGCATTAGGACAAATACCTAATGCACGTGGGGCTTAAAACCTAGATGATGGGTTGATGGGTGCAGCAAACCACCATGGCATATGTATATCTATGTAACAAACCTGTACGTTCTGTACATGAATCTCAGAACTTAAAGTAAAAAAAAAAAAAAAATACAGCTCTAGAGTCCAGGCTGATATCCTGGCTACACTACTTATAAACTTTGCAGCTTTAGGCAAGTTGCTTAATCTCTCTGACTTCAGCCTCCTTATAGGTAAAATGATGATATTAATTAGTTCCTAGTTCGTGGCATTATTGAGATAAAATCATATGAAGCCCCTAAAACAGAGGGCCTTTAATAAATCTTAGCTAATAACAATATTGGGGCAAACCTGAAAAAGTTTACCCTGACTGTAGTGCAACTGTGCTCTAAAGGGGCAGTGGAAATACTGGGGGAAACAAAGATACAACAAAATTCAGATTTACCATCTGGTTCATGTAAATTCAACCTTTCACCAACAATTCCCCAGGAAATGACTGTTCACTCTAAGGCTGAACTAAAATCTAGGTTTCCCTTTCTGTCTACACTGTATTTTCATAGTTAAACTTCAACCCGGTGGGCTCTTCTTCCCAACTCTACTTTTTAAAAATGGCATGTAAATGGCATAGGAAAAAAATTGGTCTCAACCTCTCATTTGAGATATCTACATTAATAATGACACTGAATAATGGTCTAGAGTCAATAAAGCACAGAATGGTCAGTGTTAGTATATGATTAACTTGTAATTAATAAAAACTGGACACCAATTAGAATTATAATATCTTCTTGCAGCAGTAAGACTTAAACTTGGCTGCAATATCAGAATCATCTTTGGAACTTTAAAAGAAAAAAAACACATGATGAGACTTACCTCTTGAGGTTCTAATTCAGTAAGTTTAGGCTGGGACACAAGTAGCTTGATTTTTAAAATTTTCATTGGGTGATTCTGCTGTGCAGTCTAGAGCCACTGCTGCAAAAATACACTTATCTTACGATGGTAATAATAACTGGTATCTATTGGTTGCTTACCATTTGCCAGGTCCTATTCAACTTGGTTTACAGGAATTAACACATCTTGCCCTCAACTCATCTAATATTCACAGTAATCCTCCAAAATAGGCTGCTATTATTATTCCCATTTTACAGACTTGGAAATTGAGGTTAGGGAGGCTAGGTAATTTTCCCAAAACAGTATAGATAGTCAGAGGTGGAGCTGGTATTAAAACCCAAGAAGCTTGCTCACACGTATTACCTATAAACATTAGAAAGCAAAGTAAACTTTTGACATTCACTCTCAAGCAATAAGAGGAGGTAAATTACATGAGTTATTATTGCTATGGTACTAGGGTGCAGCACTGAATCAAGAGTTTCTTGGGACATGGTGGTGTGTTTCATCAGCCTCTGTCAGGACAAGGCTGTCACTGATCAGGCCAGGAATCTGGAGGTAATCAGGCTGCTGGAGAAAAGTTACAGAGAAATAAAAACTTTCAACATTCAAGTGATGTTTCGTCATGGTCACGGTTCTTCAGGAAACAAAACTGCAGACTGGTTAGTTCTGAGGGAGGCCATCTACTGCCCCCCAAGGAGAGATGACCTAATTCTGGAGATGCAACTGAACAACACAACTTGGATGTCTGCAAACCTGAGTCCATGAGTTCTATTTAACAAGAATAAAAAACTAAGCAGCTAGAGATATCAGTTATCATTTGAGATTGCCAGATAAAGTTGAAGTGAATCATAAGAATAAACACATATAATATTTGTGTGTATAACAATTATAAATTATTTATGAAATATTTTCAAATAAAATTATTTGTTGTAATTGTTCAGAAAGAGCCAGAGGGATTTGTACTCTTATCCTGAGCAGAAGCAAAACATATGTGAATAGTTCCTTGCTAAGAAACACATGACTATGTTGATCTGACACACAAACACACACTAATAGTTTAGTCAAAATGTTTTAATTTATGTGACATTTACTCTAACTATTCTAATTATTTTTTTCAATAGCTTTTTACTCAAGAAATGGAACTTATAGCCAATTTAAAGAACTCAACAAATCCCAACTTTCAATGTTGTGAATGAGAATTATTAGTGCAGATTTTTAAGTCATGTGCTTCTAAAATATTGAAACTAGCTCTTGACAGCAAAGAGATTTTAACATCTTTTTCAAGCTACACATAAGCCTTAAGTAAATCACAAGATAACAACCTTAAAACTTTTAGATTTTTACTCTGAAAACCTTTGTCCTTCAAGATCAGCCTTTAAATAACTTAAATAATATTTCTAAAAATTTCATGTATGTGACTAAAACAAACAAATTACCAGAAACATCTATAAAAATGGACCTAATTGCTGGCTAACAAAGATAAAAAAAATTTATAAAGATAAACCTGAAGTTTTACACCATGTTTGTTTGCACACACAAACGGACAAGTTACTTTATTTCATAATGCTGTTAAATATATATATATATATGTCATTCAATCCATGTGAATGTAAATATAACCCAAATAAACCTGGCTGACTTCATGGTCCATGTAGGTGATACAGGAGTGGGGCAGGGAAGAGCTGGGAGGAGAAGGGCGGGTCCCTGGGTAGGGTTCCACCCCCGGGCCTGGACCCGCAGACCTAGGTGAGGACGCACTCCTGGCTTCGCACCCAGATGTTGGATTTCTCACCCTGGCCTGTCACACCCCCATCCTGTGCCTATAAAAACCCCGAGACCCTAGCGGGCAGGCACACAAGCGGCTGGACATGGAGAGGAACACACTGACAGAAGAAGATAAGTGGCTGGACGTGGAGAGAAACGCACCGGCCTGAGAGCACACTGAAAGGCACCGTCAAGCCATGACTGGTGAAATGATGCGCAGTTTGCCCCGGGGCGGTTGGAGGAGAGCCTGGCTGCTGAGCAGCCCGACTCCAGGGGAAAACCACCTTTCCCACTCCATCTCCTTTCTGGCTTCCCCCATCTGCTGAGAGCTACC
This sequence comes from Homo sapiens, assembly GCF_000001405.40. NCBI lineage: Eukaryota > Metazoa > Chordata > Mammalia > Primates > Hominidae > Homo > Homo sapiens. The sequence goes on along the minus strand of NC_000002.12, from coordinate 154,192,006 downwards.
TCCAGTCAATAAAACCTTGCACTCATTCTCCAAGCCCACATGTGATCCGATTCTTCTGGTACACCAAGGCAAGAAACCCTGGGATACAGAAAGCCCTCTGTGCTTGCTGTAAGGCGGGGGGTCTAACTGAGCTGATAAACACAGCCAACAGCGGTTGGCTAAACTAAAAGGGCACATGGTAACACACGCCCACTGGGGCCTCAGGAGCTGTAACATTCACCCCTAGACACTGCCGTGGGGTCGAAGCCCCACAACTTGCCCATCTGCCTGCTCTCCCAAGGGGTTTTGAGTGGTGGGGCACCGAAGAAGCGAGCCACACCCCACTGCACGCCCTGTGAGGGGGATAAGGGAACTTTTCCCGTTTCATAGGTATCACGTTATTTTCAGAAAACCATCATCAGTTAAGCATCTCTCCAAGTTGAAAAGTGGTTTAAACTTTACCAAAAACTATGGAGTGGATTACTCAGGTTGATTACATTCATACCGCACAATAAAATGTTACCCCTCTGAATTTCTCTTCCTACAGTTGATGTTTTCAGTCTCTCCTATCACTCTCTGTTAAATCTCATCCGAAAATGACAATTTTCTTGCTTCCAAGTGCAGCTTTCCAAGCTCTTTTCTTTCATCTGAAATTGTAGTTGTCTAGTCTAAAGTCTAAATACATCTAAACTTCTTAATCCATTACTCTGCTCAGGAAAAGAGAAGTCAGTGAGCCAAAAATTTAAGTGGTGTGTGTGTGCGTGCGTGCGCGTGCAAATGTGTGTGTGAGAGAATATTTGTGACTTTTCCCATTGCATAAAAAAAGAAAACTTATTTTTTAGATAGCCTTATCATACTGAAAACACCTCATTAGAGCAGGCAGCCTTGTTTGTTCTTCTCAATCATTTCACATCTCCAGTGTTTGCCACTTAAAGGTTCTGAAAACCCTTGAGTTCAGAGAGAATATTTTACGATGTTAAGGATGGTAGATTTGCACAGTCCAATATGATAGAAGCATGTGGCTATTGAGCATTTGAAATATGACTATTTCAAATTGAGATGTCCATTAAGTATAAGATACACACCAGATTTCAAAGATTTAGTATGAATAAAAGAATATAAAGTATCTCATCAGACATGTTTTTGTTAAGTGTTGAAAGCAATCATGTTTTTGATATATTGGATAAATTAAAAATAAATTATTAAAATTAGGTTCACCTGTTTCCTTTTTTGAAGTGATTACTAGGAAAAAATACAATTACATATGTAGTTAAAATTTCTGGCTCAAAATTACTCCTGGACAAGTTTGCACTATTTGAATTTTCATACTTCAGAGGTTGCAATGCTAAACAACTGCACTTATGGTGTTTGATTAGGTTAATGAGGAAAATCAAATTGTTTTTCATTGTTTCCTATAGAGCAGATGGTCACAGACAAAGCTGAGTTGGACTTTGCCTCCTCTGTAATTCTTAAACCTGGTAGAATTTTTGTTAAAAGAAACTTGTTTAAACCGAATGTCAATTAAATAAATACACTTTTCAAGTATCCCTGAACCTAAAAGTTCAAACAATATACTTTCCATTTGTGCTATAATTATATTTGGTTCTTTTTAACCCAGCATGTTAATCACATAGTGCTGTGATTCTAAGGAGAGCTACATACCTATTTTCACCTTTTAGCTGTTCACAGAGACATATTTTCCTCAGTGGGGCATACAGAAAAACTTAACTCTGATTCTAGCAACAATTGGTTGGGTCAACAGCTGTAATCACAGTAGACATCAAGTTTTTGAGCCTTGACTTGCCAGGCAAAGGGGATTGCTCTCCATGAATAGGTAATTTCATGCTTGAATAACACTGCACTATTAAATCAGAAAATTGAGTTACAGTCCTCTCACATCATGGACCCTGCTGCAAGCAAACCTGCCTCTAAGGAGCATTTGAGGGAATTTCATTGAGAACAAGATAACGAAAAACACACACAAGAAGGACACCAAATACGGTGTATTTTATGACCTGACATTTTAGCTTTAAAAAACATTTTAAATTCAGGTTTTTATATGGTTTTAACAACCACCTGTATTTTACATATTAAAGCTAACAATAGAACAATTTAAGTAGCACTGTTATAGGTATAAACATGTGAATCTTTTTCCATTTTTTTCCTATGAGGTGAGGCTATTTTTACTAATGTAGATCAAACAGCTTTACTTATTACTAATCCATTCTTATCCTACTCCACCATAGTAGGAGTGGATGGTGGAATAAAATGTGGTTAGTGACATATTTATTGGGATGGAAGCTGACAACACTGTTATGTTTACCATTTCAAATCATTCTTTTTTTTTTTCTATGTAAACCTCTAATTTGCATCTGTCTTAGTCTGCTTCAACTGCCATAATAAAATACCATAGAAAACATAAATTTATTTTCTCACAGTTCTGGAAACTGGAAATCCAAGATCAGGGTGCCAGCATGGCTGCTCAGGTGCGGACGTGAGGACTCTCTTCCTTGTTGCTGCATGCTCACACGCCTTTTTTTTTTTTTTTTTTTTTTGGTGTGCACGTGAGAAGAGAGAAAGTGAACAAGCACTGTGGTGCCTCTTCTCATAAGGCCACTAGCCCCATCAGACCAAGGTCCTGCCCTAATAACCTAATTACTTTTCAAAGGTTCCATCTCCAAATACAGTGACATTGGAAGTTAGGGCTTCCACATATGAATTTTGGGGACATAAACATTCAGTCCATAACATTATCCAACTTTTAAATTTTATATGTCCTATTTATAATTAAAAGCATCTCCATTCCATCTCTATACACTAGTCTGAATGGTCAGAGTACAACTATATGAATAAGAACATTAAAAGCATCTCCATTCCATCTCTATACACTAGTCTGAATGGTCAGAGTACAACTATATGAATAAGAACAGCTTTTTAATTATCTTAGTTCCAAACGTTTTCCTTAAATCACCTAATTCAAAAATTTTAATTTTTTTGGATTGGATTATTAAGCCCGTTTTTTTATGTTAGGAAACTGAGGCATAGTAAATTTAAATAATTGATTCAAGACTAGTTATTAAGTTGTTGCAAAAGTGATTGCAGTTTTTGCCATTAAAAGTAATGGCAATCACTTTTGCACCAACCTATTAGTAAGCTGTCAAACTACAGTCTTAAAAATATTATCTAGAGAAATGTGCAGAAAAATGAAATACTATATTTTGAGTATGAGATATGCTTTGTACTTTAAGAATGAAATAGCCTATACATTTCCCCATGATAATTTTTATTTCCAAAATAACATTAAAGTTAAATAAAAAAAAGGTCACATCCTACTCCATTTGTTATATACAAGGACAAATGAAATATTCAGCAATCTAATTTGAAAATAGTCTGCTGTTCATCAAATATTCTTTGCTGTTAGGAGATTAATATTCTTATCTTTTTTGCTTTAACATTAATAAATACTAATTAATTTACATGCAAAGCTTTGCTAGGCTCACAATCATAGCATCTTTTTGTGTTTTGTTTTCCTCAGCTGGCAGTTGGCCTAGTAATGGATTTAATTTTTATTCAGCATGGATACATCTTATAACTATAATTTATAATAACTTAATTGACCTGATTTTTAAAATCTTGTAACAATGAATCTCTGTAGTGCAAACTTATATTTTGTCTGCCTAGTATCCATCCCTTCCTCAGCTACAATAACCCCTCTTTATTTGGGGACTGTTGACACCTTGTACTCAGTCCATATAGTTCAAGCAGGGACTGCCCTTACTCCGACCTCTTATCATTATTCTGCGTGGCTACAGAGCATTCATCTGACCAAAGGCAAATGAGTTCCTTCCCTGACATTTGTACATCTGTTCAAAAGAGTCATGTTACTAGAGATGGAAATCTTGGAGGTCATATTTCCACCATTTGGGGAAAGTTGCACTGCTGTGAGAAAAGAATGAAGCTAATATGAACAGAAAAACAGGAGAGAGAGAGAGAGAGAGAGAGAGAGAGAGAGAATGCCTGATGCCTAGCTACATCACTACTCTTTTCTTGGCTTACTTTTTCTGTGAAATCACCAAGGGAATTCTTCTCATCAATACTAAGAGAAAAGAACAATCTTCATTACATATCTATTTTTGATGAACTAGTAGGGTTTGCATTTCTGTCACTTATGGTCAGAAAAACCCTAATAAAATGTCACAGAAACACCAAAAAAACTATTTTAATTATAACATTAAAAAATGCCATTTTAATATTTTGTATGTATGCAGTAAATTAGTTGCCTTTCTTTTCCCCATCTCTAGTTTTTATTTTCTGTGCTCTCAGGTAGTTGTTTAGGTCTACATCCAGTTTTGAGCTCACATGTCTCTCTAACTTCCTAGAATGCCTATAACTTTAATGAGTCATGTAGTGTAATAAGGATAAGTAATAAAACAATGACTTAAACTTACATGCTAATAAATGTACCATTGAGCTGACTAGCCCAAATCTGCATATTCAAAAAAAGGAAATTTTCGAAACCATCATGAGGTGAACAGTGATATATTAACATGTTTGTTATGGCTGATACCCCTCAGAGTGGATTCCACCTGAGGTTTCCAAACATGTTTAGAAGTTGTGTGTGTGTGTGTGTGTGTGTGTGTGTGTGTGTGTGTGTGTGTTTTCTCCTATCTCTTTCTTACTCATTCACTTAACTGTTCCAAGAAGTTTCTGGAGAATATTTAAATAAAAAATGTTACTAAAATTATACTAGACACAATTTTAAAAGTGCATTTATGTGTCTAAAACATTTTAAATTTAATTTAAAATACAGTAAAATCAGATATGTTTGACAAAAAGCACCAGGTTGAAGAGCTTTATCAGATCTTGATTAAGCAATATGAACTGGTAATCCAGAATTCACTTTTCCTCATATAACCATGAAGTTTTCTATAGGGCAATAAACTCACCAATTCAGACTGAGTCTGTAAGAGGGATAAAACTAGAAAAGTTGTAAGACTACTTTGATACTATTTTATTTTCATAATAAACTGGGGGTTTTTTTTTGGTTCTGTTATTTAATCTTGCTTCTTATTTCTACTCAGACTTAATGGCATATGATCAGAAAGATACTTTCTCAATACATAGTTTGTTACCATATATAAACTTGAAGCAATGATAGAATGCTTCTTTGACATCTGGCTTCCTATATGATTTGGTTTAAGTTTGAAGGCAAAGAGTATAATCACAATTAATGCAACACATTCTTCTAAATTAGTCCTTTTGTGCACTCAGGGTCAAAGTCATGGGCTTAACCTGTAAGTCTACTAGGACTGTGAGAAAACAATTTTACTTTAGCTCAATAACATAGGCATATGGTTTCAAGTAGAACCAAGCAAAGAAGTTTTGATGGATTATTGTAGAGTTTCTCAACTAGTTTCAAAGCAAAACTAAGATATTTGCCTTTGTCACAGAGTTGACATTTGTACTGATGATGTAAAATCAATGGTAGGTAAGTTGCTGGCCTCTTAGAGAAATCCAGTTGGCAGCAAACTATACTAGTGATCATTAAATTCTTCACCTCCCAGTAAAAATAACGTAAGCAGCAACAACATGTACCTTTTGAAAATTCTGTGAGATGAAACGGAGAGCATGCCCAAAGAACTTCTGCTACATACGTAAATATAATGGTTGCCTAAAATAAGCAATCATGAGATTGTTTGAATTGCAAACTAACATATCTGTTTTTTTCATCTAATGACATTGTTACTGGAAAGGATGGATGACAGACAAACTGTCATTTAACAATTGGGAATTTGCCTAATATTTTCTTCAAAATTAACAAAATAATGCTGCTATTCATGTAAACAGCTGACAGTAGTAGATTTTTAAAAATAATAAAAATTCAAGATTTTAAACAAAAATTACAATTTAAGAATACTTGTATCATTCACCTTGAGCTTGAAAGCATTACAATGTGTAAAAAAAATTCTCTGATGAGATTGGTGATGCTATTAGCCAATGTAATTTTATGACATAAAACTACCAACTAGTGTAATATGAAATATGCTATATTTGGAAGACTGTAATAATTAAGTAAAAAATATTTTCCAAATGAACAGTAAATAATATTACAAAGTTTAGCATGAGTGAAAATATCCATTTGAACTACAAGCTAGGCAATACATTTTAATACGGCAGAGTATAGAAAGTACCTTGATATGGAGTCAGATTCTTCATTGTAGGTAATCATTTAGAAATAATCATTTAGAAACATAACTTATAGATTACTAAATAAAATCAGGAAAACAATAAGTGAGCAATATGAGAAGTTCAACAAGGAGATAAAAATTATAAAAAAATAGAAATTCTGAAACTAAAAAATATAATGTCTGAACTGAAAAAGTCAATGGAGAACTTTAACAGCAGATTTAATCAAATATAAGAATCAGAGAACACAAAGACAGATAATTTAAAATTATCCAGTCAAAGAAACAAAAAGTAAAAACAATAAAAAAGTGAAGAAAACCTATAGGGCTTATGGTACACTATCAAGTGAATTAATATGTATACTATGAGAATCTCGGAAGGGATAGAGAAAGAGAAAGGTGTAGAAAGCTTATTTAAATAATTCATGACAAAAAACGTTTCAAATACAAATAGGGAAATGAACATCTAGGTTGATAAAGCCCAAAGAATTCCAATTAGTTGAGAATAAAGACATCTTCACTGAAACATATGATAATCAAATTGTCAAAAGTCAGAGACAAAGAGAGAATTTTGAAAGCAGTAATAGAAAAGCAATTTATCAGAAACAAAGGAAACTTCATGAAATTATCTGTAAATTTTTCAGCCAACACTCTGCATGTCAGGTCAAAGTGAAATGACATATTCAAAGTGCTTAAAGAAAATAACTGCCCACTAGGAAATTGATAACCACTAAAGCTGTCAAATAAAAAGATAATTATTTTCTTCAACAAACAAAATCTAAGGAGGTTATCATCACTGGACCTGCCTTACTAGAAATGCTAAAGAAAGTTCTTCTAGTTAAAATGAAAAGATACTAATTACCAACATCAAAACATATGCAGGCATAAAACTCACTGGCAAAGGTAAGTATACCATCAAATTAAGAAAATTCTAATACTCTAATGGTGGTATATAAATCACTTTTAATTCTAATATAAAAGTTAAGATTAAAGTATTACAAATAACTAGAGCTGCAATAACTTTTTAAATGATATATTATATGAAAAAATGTAAAGGTTTGGCACTGTCCTTGCAGTAATAAGTGAGTTATTGCTCTATAAGTTCTGGTGTGAGCTGGTTGTTAAAAAGGGCCTGGCACTTCTACTCCCTACTCTTGTTTTCTCTCTTGCCATACATCTTATATAGCCTGCATAATCATGAGCCAAATAAATCCCTTTTCTTTACAAATTACCCAGCCTCAGGTATTCTTAGCAACACTAAACAGACTAAGACACATGATAATCACAAAGAGGAAACTGTAAATGATACAGAATAGGAAACAAAGTATATCACTATGAAAAGAAAAAAATCACAAAGGAAGACAGCAAGATAGGAAAAAAATAACAAAGGAATTAAAAAACAGAAAAGCAATTAACATGACAATAATAAATCCTTCTCAATCAATAATTACTTCAAGTATAAAGAAGTTAAATTATTCAATCAAAACACAGAGAGTCACTGAATGGATTAAAAACAGTATCCAGGAGACTCATTTTATTCTTAAGTACACACAAAGGTTGAAAGCAAAGGGTAAAACAGCATATTCTATGAGTTACAAAAAGTGAGAAGAGGCAGGTATATGTATATAAAAAATAGATTATAGGTCAAAACCTGTCACAATTGAGATAAAGAAGGTTATTCTATAATAATCTATGGGTAAATTCGTATAATATATTTTACCCATGTATTATTATAAATTTATAAGTTCAAATATATTATAAATTTATAAATTCAAATAATATATGGGTTAATTCATGATAAGGTTATAACAAGTGAGAATCTCTTGAGCCTGGGACTTTGAGGCCAGCCTTGGCAACACAGCAAGACCCTGTGGAGTCTATAACAATTAATGTCTATATTAAGAATAAAGAAAAATTTCAAATAAACTTAACTTTCCATTTCAAAGAACTAGAAAAAGAATACTAATCCCCAAATTAGCAGAAGAAAAAACATAGTAAAGATAGTAATGATAATAGCAGAAATAAATGAAATAGATTAGAAAAACAATCAAAAGAAAAATGAAACTAAGAATTTTTTTTTTTGAAAAGAGAATCAAAATTGACAAGTTTTTTTCAATTTGTTTGTTTGTTTGAGACAGGGTCTCACTCTGTTGCCGAGGCTGGAGTGCAGTGGCATGATCATGGCTCACTGCAGCCTTTACTTCCTGGGCTCAAGTGATTCTCCTGCCTCAGTCCCCCAAGTATCTGGGACTAGAGGCATGCACTACCATACCCAGCTAATGTTTTTATTTTTTTGTAGAGGTGGGGTTTTGCTATGTTGCCCAGGCTTGTCTTGAACTTCCAGGCTCAAGCAATCAACCGCCTCAGCCTCCCAAAGTGCTGGGATTACAGGCGTGAGCCACCATACTCAGTCTGCAACCTTTTAGATAGACTAAACAACAGAGAAAGAGAGAGGACTCAAATAAATACAATTATAAATGAAAGAGAGTCCACAAGTATAAAGGATCATAAGAAACTACTATGAACAGTTATACTCAAACAAATTGGATAACCTAGCAGAAAGAGATAAATTTCTATAAACATACAATTCACAAAGACTGAACTAGGAAGAAATAGAAAATCTCAACATACTAATTACAACTAAAAACATTGATTTGGTATTTATTCCCAACAAATAAAAGTCTAGGAGCTAATGGCTTAACTGATGAATTCTAACAAATATTTAAAGAAGATTCAATGCCAATGCTTCTCAATCTCTTCCAAAAAAATTAAATAGGAGGAACAATTCTAAACTCATTCCACAAGACCAGCATTATTCTGATACCAAACCAAAACAATGATACTACAGGAAAAGAAAATTACAGACCAATATTGCTAATAAATATGAAAGCAAATATTCTGAAAAAAATGCCAGCAAACTGGATTCAACAGCACATTAAGAAGACCATACACAATGATCAAGTGGGATTTGTCCCTGAGAAACAAATGGCGCAGTCTGGTATTGAAATCTTAGGCTCAGGTGATCCTCTAGCTTTGGGCCTTCCAAAGTGCTGTGATTAGTCATGAGTCACTGTGCCAGGCCTACTCTTATTTTAAAAAGGGGTCAACACCAATGTCAATAAATATATTTTATATGTTATACAAATATAATAAATATATTATCCTATATTATATAAATATAATACATATTTTTATATATTATATACCATATAATAAATATATATTTTTTCTGCTTTAATTTCTTATAAAACAGATAAAATTAGTTATAACCTACATAAACAGTGTTTGGGTTCCTCAATAATTTTTAAGATGAATGTTTGAGAACTACTGGCTTATTATTCCACATGGATAGGGGGAAAGAAAGATCCTTAATGACCACAAAATAGAACCAATATTATTGTACACAAAAAGCAGCCATTTGAAGCTCAGATATATCTGATCATGATATTTAGAATACATTGACAACTTTCAAATATGTAGAAGTACTTTTACCAAATGCGCACACAAAAAACAGCAATTTATGCTTTTCAGTATGCGCAACTGGAAATGCATTGAAGAAATGAAACATTGTCTTGTTACAAGTTTAGTAGTCAAATGATTAACATATCTTTGGGAGTCAGACACCCTGGGCTTGAAACTCTATTTCTCAAGTTACTAGCACTGCTGGGTTGGGCCATTTGTTTAACCTCTATAAGCGTTTGTTTCTGTATAAGCAAAGGGAGCTAGAAATAGTACAAGTTGAGTGGGTTCTAAATTAAATAGTCAACGCATATATAATAGTTAGCATAGTGTTTGATATTCGGTAAGAATTCCCTAAATATCTCTGAGTATTTCAATTATGTTATCACTGTTAATCTTATTAGACTCTCATATTAAAAGTTCTTACAAGGGAAGAGAGACAAATGATAACCAATAACATATAAACATAAAAAAAAAGAGAGAGAAAATCTAATAATGTTCTTAAGGAATACACTAATTAGTAGACTTTGACATTTGTAATATTAGCTTAGATACTAAGGAACTGACGAAAATGGTGAAATATTATTTATGTTAAATATTTATTTGTAATTTATTTTTAAAGTATGAAAAAATACTTTGAGCAACCTGTAAGAGATATGTAAAGGTAACCTGCAGTCATCCAGGATTAATAAGAATATTAATTACTTCTATTTTTACCTATGAGATCCAGTAAATATTTACTGTGAACAGAAAAAGAATGTATTTTATAGTTAAAACTTTAAAGACTATAAATATATATCATATCGTAAAAATTTATCAAACTTGTTTTTCAAAAAGCAAAATAGCATTGTTTCATTTCAACTTTAAATTATTCCTTTGGGGAAAATACATACTCACTTTAAATCAAGTAATAAAACCTAAAATTGTTATTTTACCAATTACCTGCCAGAGAGAAAAAATGTTAATGTAAATATGAGAAATGCTATAAACATAAGTATTAAATAAATGCCTCATTGGTAGCAAGGCTGAGGAGTGTTTTCTCTTCAAGGATAAAATATTTTTCTTTTAAGTGATGCATTTTTATTTTGTTAATTTCCTTCTAAATTCTCATCCTAGTGCTAAAATCTGTTCCCCGAAGTGTTACTGATAATCAACACTTTACTGTCAATATGGTTTACAAAATCATAAAAGTGACTAAATATACAACAATAAAGTATTGATTAAATTCAAAGCAATATAGTCATTCCTTGGTATCAATGGGAAATTGGTTCTAGGAATGCAGTGGATACCAAAATCTGCACATATTCAAGTCTATCAGTTGGCCCTGTGAAAACCACAGATATGAAAAGTTGGCTCTTTCCTATGGCAGGTTTTGCATCCTGACAATACCACTCACCGGTGGCTGTGGATGTGGAACCCACCAATGGTAAGGGTTGATGGTTTTTATTTTTTTAAATATCCTTGCACATGTGTGGACCAGTGCAGTTCAAACTCATGTTGTTCAAGGGTCAACTATATTTTCATTTAACACTTGTTTTATCACTAACATGCTTATAAAGATCTCCAGTTAATGACATTAAAAAAGAGCAATGAAATTAAGTATATAGACCATATTAGGAAAAAATAAAAATAAAACAACTACCATAAAATATTTATCACACAGGTTAATTTAGATATACAGATAGATACACCCCTATAGGGACTTTAATTTAGAAAAAGAAGGTGAGAATTATGAATAGCAACATTTTAACTACGCTTATTATGCATGGTGATTTTTAGAATTCTTATACATGGTTGTGGATTTTTAAAAAAGTTTCCAAAATGCATTAATTACATTTATAATCAGAAAAAAACAAATCTATTTTTTTAACAGGTACTTATAACTGTAGAAACGTACATCTTTCAGCAAGAAATTGTAAATGTAAATTTAAACAGCAATATTTGTATTTTTTTTTAAATAAGTGGTTTGTTTAACTGCCTGACAAAAAGATCCATAAAAGGCAAGGAGAAAAAAAGACCTACCAAAATGTTTAATATACTAGCTATGTTAAAGTAAATATAATAAAATAACAAAAATTATATACAATAAAATTTTCATTTTAATGCTCAAAAAACAATTTCTATATTGTTATGAGTCTATTTATATTTTGAAATGGCATAAAAGAGTCACTGAATAAAAAGCACAAAAAACTGAAATGATTAGAGAAGGCTACAGATGTCACAAATTATTTTTCAGGCACTGATGCCTACAATGCCATCTGTATTATGTGTGTTTGGGTTGGTTTAAACAACTTGATGACACCTTCATAAATTGGTATTCATGCTGAGTGTGTGAACTGCATTACAAACTAAGCAGCATACTTCTGTAAAGTTTGCTGTGAAATTTGTTTTCAAACCAAGCACATAATAAAATGCACTCTAAGTCAGCTATAGAGAAACGTGTGTCCAAAACATCTGCCTCCCTGAGTATCTGATTGGATATGCACTCAAGTAACAAATAGAATCATGTCTGAGTTAGCTGAAAACACTCCTTTTAAGATTTTTTTTTTTTTTTTTTTTATCATGGAAGAGGGTCCCCAAACCAGAAATACTGACAAATGTCATTTCTGGAGAAGCTGCTTTGCTGCTTATGAAATTGTACTTGAAGCTTCTTTCAGTTATAAAGGTCAGATGAGAAAAAGAAAGCCCTTAAAGATGAGCATTTAGTACGTCTTTGTGGCCTGTTTCATAATACAAATGAAAACCCAAGACATTATATTTCAAATGAATGTTAGTAAAGTTCTTTAATACTCAAAGATACAACCCTGCAAAAATCAGGCTGCTTTCAGAGTTGATATTCCACATTTGACAGTTTTGCCTCACACTTCCTGACGTTAAGAACATTTTGTATATACTTTTAATTTTAAAATGAGTATGAGAGAATCAACAGGAAGTTAAATCATACATGTAATTTACCAGCAAATTTCCCTTTTCACAATTTATTTGTAATGAAATCAGCAAAACAGCATTATATATTTCACATGCAGATTCATTCACTCATTTACTCATATCTATTTGTTCACGGAATACTTATTGAGTATTTACTATATGCTAGGAAAATAGACAAAAAATAGTCTCTGATGTATTCTCTAGATGAGGGAAACTGACAGGTAAAATTAACCATAATAAACTATATAATATTGGTATAAACAGAATGTTCTGGTAATGGTTACTACTTAACATACCTGGGGTAGAGTTAAGAGAGTAGAAGGAGTTTCAGAGACAGGGATAATTTTGTTGGGACACGAAGGATAAGTGAGAGTTTATTGGGCAGATGTGGCAATAAAGGAAATCTTACCAAAGGGAACGCCATGGTAAAAGAGTTTTATCAGTAAGAAAAAACTGAGAGCTCTAAAAATCTCAGATTGGTTCTGTGTGATTGGATCCTAATGCACCTTTGGGACTGAGGCTGCAGATAAACTTAGAAAGGCTGTCTGAAGGAGTTTTAAATGTTGCTAAAGCAGTTAGACTAGAATATCAGTGAAAGATGTTAGGAAGGGAGCCACATGATTACTATTTGCATTTAGAAGACAATTCTGGCAGACTCATGAAAGAAACTGGAGCTGGCTGAATGGGAAAGGACATTGACCATGATGCCGGCAACAGGGAGATAAATTAAGAAGCTATTGCAAACCCTCAGGCAGCAAATGATGAGGACAATGGAACTGGAAGAGTGAGAGAAGACTTGAAGAATATGTTAATTGATACAATTAAGGACTTTGTGACCAACTCCGTGTGCAGATTGAGCGAGAGGAAGACATTATTATTATTATTTTTAATTATACTTTAAGTTTTAGGGTACATGTGCACAACGTGCAGGTTTGTTACATATATATACACATGTGCATGTTGGTGTACTGCACCCATTAACTCGTCATTTAACATTAGGTATATCTCCTAATGCTATCCCTCCCCCTCCCCCCACCCCACAACAGTCCCCGGTGTGTGATGTTCCCCTTCCCGTGTCCATGTGTTCTCATTGTTCAATTCCCTTAGCAGTTCCCATGTTTTAGATAACATTTCTTCACACTAAATTCTAATTTCCATTTGAAAAATATCTGCCAAATCTACCAAATGAAAAAGTAACCAGAAACAATTTGGCATAGCCTGGTGATTCTGAGTACCCTCTTCCAGCCAGTGTACTTGTGTGACCTCCAGCAAGTTTCTACCTTATCTTAGCACCTAACTTATAGTGGTGAATAAGGGTTGGCATGTTTCCTGGCCCAGCTGCAGCAATAATCACAGGTAAGCACAGTAGTAACAGAAGACGGTGACAGTGGTATCCTCTCCCAGAGTTCTCAAGAGCAAATAATTTGCAATTACTGAATGAATTAATACCAATTCTGCTCCTAAAACTTGCTTTTGCATTACTTGAGTCATAAAGGTTCAGAAGCCAGAAGTATATAAATCAAATTCTTAAAATGGCAAGTTGAGCATTGAAGCAAGTTGGTGTGTCCTTGGCCCTTCAAAAAGGGGTAGCTACTACTCAGCTGCAGAATTACACAAAAATATAGTCCTGTGTTGCCAGGTCTCTTTTCAGGTCTGGTCTTTCTCTGCCTCATATGTATGTATGTAGACACACATATATGTATGTACATATATATTAAATAGCATTATTTTTACTTTTAGGTTTACAGAAAAATTGAGAGCATTCCCATATATTCCCTTTCCCCTAGCCCACTATTCCTACTGCACAGTATCCCTGTTACTAACATCTTGCATTAATGCGCTACTTTAATTACAATGGTTGAGCCAATAGTGATGCATTATTATAAAGTCCATAGTTTACAATCAGGTTCACTCTTGGTGGTGTACTTTCTCTGGGTTTTGGCAAATGTATGGATTCACCATTGGATAATGACATGTATCCACCATTGTAGTATCACAAGAGTATTTTCAATGCCCTAAAATCCTGTGTTCCACCTATTCATTCCCCCTCCCCAGCTCCTGGCAACCATGGCTTTTTCACTGTCTCTGTAATTTGCCTTTTCCACAATGTCATATAGTTGAAACCATAGAGTTTCAACTATATATAACCTTTCTAAGCCTGTCTTCTTTAATTTAGCAATATGCATTTTAGGTTCCTCCATGTCTTTTTCTCGTTTGAGAGCTCATTTCTTTCTATCACTGAATGATATGCCATTGTCTGGATGTACCACAGCAGATCCTTGTTTTGTCTGTTTCTTTTTTCTTGAGATTAGAATTCTGAATTCTTTTAATATAAAATCTTTCTAAGTTTAAATATTGGTAGTTAACTGGCAGTTATTGTTGTTGAACATTATGTATGGTTCTTAAAAGACTGATTCCTTAGCCATACTCCTCCAAATGATGACTCAGTAAGTTTGGAGTGGAGAGGGGTCTCATGAATCTGCATATCTAATAAGTTCCCATGCAGTTGCAGATGCTGCTGCTCCCTGGCCCACAATTTAAGTAACAATAGTCTAGATAACCAAAACCATAAATTTGGGCTAAGAAAATATTTAAATAAAATGAAGTCACTAAGTATTTTTATTAAGAATTTTCCCTTTGCTTTGACATGTTAAATGAGATATATTAAACACCTTTTCAAAAATCAGCATTTTAGGGGAATATGGATAGCACAATAGCCATAATAGAAACACTACAAACTAAATGAACATCTTAATCATGGTTTTCCTCTTCCTGGTTTTATGTAACATCATTCATACCATTATCCATAATAAATATGTACCATAAACCAAATAGCTGTCTTGTTATTCTTTTGATATCAGGAATTCTTAAAATGAATATTTATTAATTAAATTATATGTTCTAGGCCGGGTGTGGTGGCTCAAGCCTGTAATCCCAGCACTTTGGGAGGCCAAGGCAGGCAGATCGTGAGGTCAGGAGATCGAGACCATCCTGGCTAGCACGGTGAAACCCCGTCTCTACTAAAAATACAAAAAATTAGCCAGGCGTGGTGGCGGGCGCCTGTAGTCCCAGCTACTCAGGAGAACCCAGGAGGCGGAGGTTGCAGTGAGCCAAGATCGCGCCACTGCACTCCAGCCTGGGTGACACAGCGAGACTCCATCCCATAAATAAATAAATAAATAAATAAATAAATAAATAAATAAATAAATAAATAATATATATGTTCTACTAGACCTTAAACAAACATACTCTGCATCATGCTGACTTCTAAGAGGCACAGATTCTTATAACAAAGAACCGGAAATTCTAGTACAAAATGGGTTATGTTCTCTCTTTTGTGTCTGTGTGTATATTTGATCTATGTAGCATAGTCTAATGTTTTCGTTATCACTTCTGCCTCTCAGAGAAATCATTAACACAGGGTTTCTTAACCTTTTTTTTACTACCTTGACAGTGGTCCATGTTTAGAATTCATAAACTTGGATGGGGGAAAATATGTTTCCTTAATTTCTAAGTAAGAAATAACATTTACTTTAATTATGACTATAAGCAGCAAACCATAGACGTACTGCAATAACTGGTACTTTATCCATAATATAAATCATAGATTTTTCATAAGAACATTATAGTTGCAAGTGTCTGGGATTATCATGTATGCTTGTTACTATTTTGAAATTATGATAGTTATTAGAAGTACCTCAAGATAGAGATAATTTTCCAGTATATATTACCCTACTACACATTTATTTTAAACTATTTTGGTGACCATATTTCAATATATATATTTTTTGGTATTTTGTACACTTAAAAATTAATTCTCAGAGGGTTTCTATAGTTTTAACAAGATTTTCCAAGGAGCCTGTGGCATTTAAAGGTTAAGAATCCCCAAACAGCTTGGTAAAATATCCTGCTTGTTCCAAATTAGCACTAAGAATCCCATTTAGCTTCAATTATTCCCTCCAGAATAGTTTTCAGTTCTGCCACCTGACTAACACCTTTCATATTGAGTATCTGTATGGAAATGTGGTTATTCAGACAGTAGAAAGGCTCATGTCTTTCTCCACAGAATGAATGAATCTCATTACATTGAAAGTGTCTTGTTATGTGATCTATGTGGATGTTTATAAATTGATTTGATCACAGTATTGATCAGGAGAACATCTGAAAAGAACAGATTAACTATGTCATGTACTGATGTGTTTACTGGATAAACTAAAATGTTCCAGAAAATGAAAAGAGAATGCTAGAGTTCCTCCAATTATGAGTTAAGTTCCTAACAGAGGTGTGTATTCATTGGGTAAGAATATGCAGATGTTTGGCTCACTGGTTCTTTCAAAGATTAGAAAACCTGAATTTATAACCCGTCTAATCAAATTAACAAAATGATAGGGAATATTATGCATTATTTGCTCAAGAAAAATATACTAGTTATTATAACCACATTGAAATGAAATATCAGCTCAAGTTTTCATAAGAACTTCAGTAAATCTCTTTTTAATATGCAAAGGCTTTCTAATCAAGTATATGGAAAGCAATACAGTTATGTTGACAAGAAGATTTTCTTCATTTCCCAAGACTGAAAATGTTTATTATTATAATAGACATGCAGCTAGAAAAACGTGATAATATTCTATTGTAGTCATCAATGAAAAATGAGACATAGCAGAAACAAAAATCCCATATACGTAGTTGATTTGAATTTTCATAAAGCTTCAGTCTTATTTCCCAATGAGAAATGTAAAAAGTCAATTAACCAAATGTCAAGTTTCCTGTATATCCTTACATAGAAGAAAGGAAATAAAGGTTATATCTTTAAGTAAACCTAATAAACTCAAACACTCCAAAACTCATCTTGCTTAAAAACCTTCTTTGACTAGAAAGGATTATTTTAGACAAGTACAAGTTAATGTTCACTTTTCAAAGGTCGTGTGTATCTATTTCATTAAATGCTTTCCAACTTGCTCATGGAACTGTTATGTTAGCTTAAAAAATCCTCAGATTTATCTACCTGAATTTAATATTACCCTGTACACCCCAGAGTTCACTTGTTTCTTAGAGTCTTTGACTATACAGATCAGTGTCTGCCTTTTGTGTGGTTTCATAGATGTAGTGCCCTAGAGTAGAGCTGCTCACCCCAGCTTAAACTGTAATTGCATCTGCCCTATTCACTTTCCCTTAACAGGAATACCAGTATTTGATTAAGCATTTGAAAACACTCTGAGGTAGTCTAGCTAAATCCACTTAGACCATCCAGCCAATCAGTGAAGGGGTTGAGACTGCGTAATTTTAATGTACCTTAAATTATCTTTGCAAACAACAAATCAAGAAAATCATAAATTGCAAACTCATCACAATTAAATTATCTATATCTAATTTAAGTTCAAAGAACACTGATTTCCTTTCTTTTGGATATATACCCAGCAGAAAACTTGCTGGATCATATGCTGGTTTTCCTTTTAGATTTTTGACGAACCTCCATACTATCGTCTACAGTGGCTGTACTAATTTACATTCTCACCAACAGTGTGTGGGCATTCCCCTTTCTCCACATCTGTGCCAGCTTCCAGCTTCTATTATTGCTTGTCTTTTAATAAAAGTAATTTTAACTGGAGTGAGATAATGTCTCATTATAGTTTTGCTTCACATTTCTCTGATGATTAGTGATGTTGAACATTTTTTCATATACTTGAGGGCCTTTTGTATGTCTTCTTTAGAGAAATGTCTATTCAGACCTTTTGTCAGATAATTTTTTGTTATTGAGTTGTTTGAGCTCCTTATATATTCTGGTTATTAATTCCTTGTCAGATGAATTGTTTGCTAACAGTTTCTCCCATTGTGTGGGTTGTCCCTTCAATTTGTTGATTGTTATATTTGCTGTGCAGAAGCTTTTTAGCTTTGTTATCTCATTTGTCTATTTTTCTTTGGTTACTCGAGCTTCCAAAGTCTTACACAGAAAATACTTTCCAGAACAATATCCTGGATCATTTCCCAAATGTTTTCTTTAAGACTTTCAACTTCCATTGTTTCAGGTCTTAGATTTAAGTCTTTAATTCAATCTATTAATTTAATTTAATTTAATTTAAAAATTTAAATTTAATTAATTAAATTTAATTAAAAAATCAAATTAAATGATTTGTTTTTTTGTGTATAGTGAGAAATTGGGGTCTAGTTTCATTCTTCTACAGTTATCCAGTTTCCCCAGCACAATTTATCAAAGAGACTGTTCATTCCCCAGTGTATGTTCTCAATATCTTTGTTGAAAATAAGTTGGTTGTAAATACGTGGATTTATATCTGGGTCTTCTATTCTGTTCAATTTGTCCATATGTCTGTTTTAATGCCAATACCATGCTGATTTGGTTACTACAGTTTCGCAGTAACTTTTGAAGTCAAGTAATGTGATGCCTATAGCTTTACTCATGTTCTTTTTTGCTCATGATTGCTTTGTCTATTTGGGGTCTTCTGTAGTTCTATATAAATTTTAGGATTTTTTTCTATTTCTGTGAATAATGCCATTGGTATTTTGATAGGGATTGCAGTGAATCCATAAATTGCTTTGGGTAGTATTGTTATTTTAACAATATTAATTCTTCCAATCCACGAGCATAGAATATCTATCAATTTTTTTGTACTCTTCAATTTCTTTCATCAATGTTGTATAGTTTTTTCTTGTATAGATCTCTGTATGCCCATGTTTACTGCTGAACTATTCACAATAGCATATGGAATCAATGTAAGTGCCCATCAACAGATAAGTGAAGAAAATGTGCTCTGTATGTATGCGCATACACACACACACACACACTCTAGAATATTATTCAGCCATATAAAGGAATGAAATCCTATCATTTGCAGCAACGTGAATGGAACTTGACGTCATGTTAAATGAAATAAGCCAAGAACAAAAAAATAAATACTACGTGTTCTCACTCATGAGTAGGAGCTAAAAGTATGGACGTCATGAAGACAGAAAAGATTGGTGGTTACCAGAGGCCAGAAAGGGTAGTGGGGAGGGAGGATAAAGAAAAGTTGATTAATGGGTCCAAAAAGCAGTATGATAGAAGGAATAACACCCAATGTTAGATACATTAGTAGGGAAATAATAGTTTAAAATAATGTATAGTAGATTTCAAAATAGCTAGTAGAGAACTATTTGAATGTTTATAGCACAAAGAAAAGACAAACATAAAAGGTGATGGATTGATCTTTACAAATTTTATGAATGTATTAAATTATCACATGTACCCTCAAACTATGTACATCTATTATGCATCTGTAAAAAATAAAAATAAGTTTTAAAATAATATTTTTATTAGACATGGTCATTTGAAATTCACCCTCAAAAATATTTATTTGGCAAAGATAGTTAGAAACTCAATTTTTCAGGAATCCAGATTCATATTTGAGGCTCAAACTTAAGGTCAAGTAAAATTTATTACTGGCTTAGCATTGTGTGTGTGTGTGTGTGTGTGTGTGTGTGTGTGTATGAGAAAGAAAGATTTAATTTTTGTATTGAGCATGGATATTATGTTTACTGAACAAAACACAATTGAGATGGCAAGTGATGGCAAGTAATTAATAATAATAAGTTCATAACAGAGTTACCACAACCCATAATTTACCACCATTTCCAAAATGGATTATATCATTAGTGACTCACAGCAGGCTAGAAGTACAAAACTCTCAAGTGGAAATAGTCTTGAAATAGCTGATAAAACAAGCTGTGAAGCTGAGAAACACTTTAGCACTTATGTATTCATACTTCACTGTGCCTGTCTTAATAACACATCCAGGAGCTCCTATTTCAGAGTCAGGGACTTCAGAGTGTTCCAAAGCAGACAAATCATTCACTTTAGAGTTCAGAAAAGTATGTTCATATCCTGCCTGTCTCTTCCAGTTATTAACTGTATTATCCAGGCAAGTCAAGTAACCTCTTGGGATTTCATATTTCCCATCTGCAAAATGGGACTAATACCTGATTTGACAACTCATGCATTGTCTTGATTTTCAACTGAGGTGTAATATATGAAACCATTTTTATAAATTGAAAACACACAAATTTATAGCATGCTTTTCTACATATTGTCGTTCAAGCCATGAGGAAATGTTTCTGGTGGAGTAGGTAGAAGGCAAGCGGAATTGAGAACAAGTTTCTAGAGTAGTAGGTGGTATTAATTCCCTCCCATCCTTCCCCATAAATAAGAATTTTATTATTTGATAAGGAGAGTTTGAGGATGGAAGCCTCTCTGCTTTGAGGAGTTTGGAAGACTCCTTCCAAGCCCTCCATGTATTTGTTTGGTCTGAAAAATATTCCTAACCTCAGTTACTTTTTTCAGCCAGGAGAGGGAAATTAACATTGCTGAGTGTCTAAGAGGGCCAGGAAGATACTATGGGCTTTAAAGATATTCTTTTGATAATTTACAACCCAATAATTGAGAGACCCAAGGCTGAGAAAGTTTAAGCAAATTACCCAAAAACAACTACTGCTTATAAGATTTTGGGTTTGACCCAAGACTTCTGCATTGAAAGCTTCTCCAGCAAACTACCCAAGTTGTTCCAGAGTATTATTCATTTGTTTAAAAATCAATCATTTCTTTCTTTTTATTATTGGCACTGGATATTTTCATGTTGGAATTCTATTGTAGGGACATTTTAATATTTACTCATTTTGGGGCAATATAAAATGCCATCACAAGGAAAATATAATAATACTTAGGTGCTATTCCAATAACTTAGCATGTATATTTTTGCATATTTTATCTTATTTAATTCCCATGACAGTCTTAAAAGGTATTATTATTATTATTCCCAGGTTTCACATGGCAGTGAAAGGTTGTGACATCTGGCACTATGCTTGCTATTCTGCCTGTCTTGTAGAAGCAATCATATTAGGATAACAATGTAATTTATTGCTCAAACTGGGCTCTTTGGGGAGTAAAAGAGCAGTTATTATAGTTATTCCAGGAAGCAGGTGTAGACCTGAGTCAATCATATATATGGTCACTGTAAACAACGTGGATAGCAGTCCAGCATCAAATCTCCTACCTTTCCCTTATTGAATACAGTTTTGGTGGGTGTGATGGTTAATTTTATGTGTCAACTTGACTGAATTAAGGTAAACTCAAATAGCTGGAAAAGCATTATTTCTGGGCATATCTGTGAGGGTGTTTCTGGAAGAAATTAGCATTTGACTCAGTGGACTGAGTAAGGAAGATCCGCCCTCATCCAATGTGGGCAGGCACCATCCAATTGGCTAAGGTCCCAGATAGAACAAGAAGGCAGGAAAAAGGCAAATAATCTTTCTTTTCTGCAGCTGGAAACCCTGATTAAAACAGTAGCCCTAACAATTAAAAGTATACACTTTCAATGATGAAAGACTAGTTCTATGACTCAACTAAGCTGGTAATAAGAAAATAATACTTTTAGAATTTGAGCTTTGGTCTGCCTGAAATTCAGTTGAGCCTTGGTCTGCCTGAAATTCAGCTGAAGTTTCTTCCTTGCAGCACTGTGCTTCTGCTCCCTAGAACTCTGGATGTAACTGGGTTCTCTCTCTCTTACTCTCTCTCTCTAAGGGAAAGAGAGAGAGAGAGTCAGCCTCCAATTTCTTTTTATGGATTTAGTGAGACCCAATCACGGAGACTCATCATTGAATACGGTGGGTGCTATGAAGCTACGATGTGCTGCCTAGATCCTCATCCACCATTAAGTAACTTATTACCAAACTTACCCGGAGTGCTGCCAGTGAGCAGCTCCAGTTATCAGCCCAGCTTTGAAAACTGCCTAAATTGAAGAGAGCTGCCTTTCTCAAAGCCTTGCCCCCTTCTGAAGGCAGCCTGTATCCAAGGATTGATTGATTCAGGGCATAGTGATCTGACTCACTCACTAGTGCCAATATGGGGCAGTTTTGAAGGGTGTCGTGTCCCATTCTCAAAACCCTCCATAGGATTGGAAGAAGATTCCATTCAGACTTCATAACTCAAGTCAACTCAGTGGTATGCTGCTGCTGGCTAATACCTGCTCACAAGAGCTGGTTGTGTTCATATAATTCTTCTGTAGTTTACATCCAGTGACGTGAAGTTGATAGCTTAAAATCAGCCATAATGAGACTACTTATACCTCAGAGCCTATTTCCCAAATGTGATGGCTAATTTTATGTATCAACTTGAGTAGGCTAAAATACTCAGATATTTGTTGCTATAGTGTGGATATGGTTTGTTTGACCCCTCCCCTCCAAAACTCATGTTGAGATTTGATTTCCAAGGTTGGAGGTAGGCCTAATGGGAGATGTTTGGGTCATGGGGATGGATCCCTCATGATTAATGTCCCCTGTGGTGGTAGCGGGGAGTGAGGGAGTGTTGCAGTGTCAGTTCCTGAGAGAACAGGTTGTTAAAAGGAGCCTATCACCTCCCTCCTTTCTGTCTCTCTCTCTTGTCTTTTCTGTCATGATGTGATCTCTGCACAAACTGGCTCCCCTCCCCCTTGCACCATGAGTAGAGGCAGCCTGAGGCCCTCTCCAGATGTATGTGCTGGCACCATGCTTCGTGTATGGACTAGAAACTACAGTACCATTAGCCAATAAATCTCTTTTCTTTCTCTTTTTTATTTATTTATTTTTGAGACAGAGTCTCACACTGTTACCCAGGCTGGAGTTCAGTGGTGCAATCTCACTCACTGCAACCTCCACCTCCCGGGTTCAAGTGATTCTCCTGCCTCAGCCTCCTGAGTATCTGGGATTACAGGCACCCACCACCATGCTTGGCTACTTTTTTTTTTTTTTTTTTTTAATAGTAGAGATGAGGTTTCACTATGTTGGCCAGGCTGGTCTTGAACTCCTGACCTTGTGATCTGCCTGCCTCAGCCTCCCAAAGTGCTGGGATTACAGGTGTGAGCCACTACACCCGGCCAAATCTCTTTCCTTACAAATTACCTAGTCTCAAGTTTTCCTTTGTAGCAACACTAATGGACCAAAACATTTGGTCAAACATTATTTTAGATGTTTCTATAGTGGTATTTTTTAGATGAAATTAGGTCAATTAGTAGACTTTGAGTAAAGCAGATTACTTTCCATAATGTGGGTGCATCTCATCCAATAAGTTGAGGGCTTTAATAGATAAAGACTAACCTCTTCTGAAGAAGAGGGAATTCTGCCGGTAGGATGCCTTTGAATTTAAAGTGAAGCATCATGTCTTCCCTGGGTCTCCAGTCTGCCGATACACTCTGCAGATTCTGCAGTTGTCGGCCTCTATGATCATGTGAACCAATTCCTTAAAATAAATCTCTCTGTGACATGCTGCTCTGCACTACCCTGCCATACACCAGACCACTTCACGTTGGCCAGGCTCCATACCACACCCTGCCTGGGCCAGATACTGCATGGACAACATACCCACCCCACTTGGACTCCAGATCCGAAGGGCAAACTGCTTTCTTTCCATGCACTGATGCCCTCCCCACCTGACTTGGCTTTGGCACTCCAACTTCGCTGGGTGAAAGTACCCTTCCCATGTGAAAATACTCTTTACTCTGGTCAGGCTCTTACACTGCATTTTGAAAAGTCCTCCTACAAGGATGCCTTCTTTACCTTGCTCAGGTTCTGACATGCCATACCAGGGTACCATCCATAGGATTGTTGGTACCAACCTGCACAGGTTCTCGCCCCCCAAGCAAGGCTGCCTTTCTATCAGGACTCTATCCTCAACCTGCTTGGGCTCTGATGCCATGTGGTTGCTCTACTTATACCCACATATGTGGTCACACATGGATGCCTTTCTCTCCCTACATTAAGTTGTGTCTCTCTACTCACACTGACCATTGCCCTCCCTCTGTGTTCAGTGCCACCTTAGGGCTTTGGGCTGAAGTGGTAGGAAAAAAGGAGAATGGAAAGGAAAGGAGTAAAAGAAAAGTTTTTGCTTAATTTTACATGCAAAGGAGATGTTTGCTGTTAGAGTGATCACTCCTAAAAGCTTGTTCAAAGAAGAGGCTGCCTTTTTTTTAGCCTTTCAAATATTCGAATATCTGAAAGTTGCTTAATCAACAAAGTTCAGTTAGTAATAGAATTCCTCTATCAACCCTAGAAGAATACAATTTTAAAAGTGCTATATGTGCCTATTAGAGAAACAGATCAATTGACCATGCTATGTTTTCTAATATACAAGGTGTTTTCTGTGTACTTTTCACTTTTGCTCAACTACAAGATAAATTCTGCAATGGCAGGGAATATGCCTTACTCATATTTGCAATTACAGGATCTGGCACAATTCCTGGAACCTGATAGGCCCTAACAATATTTATTTATTTATTTTTCTTTTTAATTTTATTTTCATTTTTATTAGTATACTTTAAATTCTACAATACACGTGCACAACTTGCAGGTTTGTTACATATGTATACATGTGCCATGTTGGTGTGCTGCACCCATTAACTCATCATTTACATTAGGTATATCTCCTAATGCTATCCCTCCCCACTCCCCCCACCCCACAACAGGCCCCGGTGTGTGATGTTCCCCTTCCTGTGTCCATGTGTTCTCATTGTTCAATTCCCACCTATGAGTGAGAACATGCGGTGTTTGGTTTTCTGTCCTTGCGATAGTTTGCTCAGAATGATGGTTTCCAGCTTCATCTATGTCCCTACAAAGGACATGAACTCATCCTTTTTTATGGCTGCATAATATTCCATGGTGTATATGTGCCACATTTTCTTAATCCAGTCTATCACTGATGGACATCTGGGTTGGTTCCAAGTCTTTGCTATTGTGAATAGTGCCACAATAAACATATGTGTGCATGTGTTTTTATAGCAGCATGATTTATAATCCTTTGGGTATATACCCAGTAATGGGATGGCTAGGTCAAATGGTATTTCTAGTTCTAGATCCTTGAGGAATTGCCACACTGTCTTCCACAATGGTTGAACTAGTTTACTGTCCTACCAACAGTGTAAAAGTGTTCCTATTTCTCCACATCCTCTCCAGCACCTGTTGTTTCCTGACTTTTTAATGACTGCCATTCTAACTGGTGTGAGATGGTATCTCATTGTGGTTTTGATTTATTGAGATGGAGTCTCACTTCATTGCCCAGGCTGAAGTGCAGTGGCGTGATCTCCGCTCATTGCAACCTCTGCCTCCTGGGTTCAAACCATTCTTCTGTTTCAGCCTCCTGAGCAGCTAGGATTACAGGCACATGCCACCACACTGAGCTAATTTTTGCATTTTTAGTAGAGATGGGGTTTCACCATGTTGGACAGGCTGGTCTCAAACTCCCGAACTCAGGTGATCCACCCGCCTCAGCCTCCCAAAGTGCTAAGATTACAGGCATGAACCACAGTGCCCAGCCAACAATTTTTATTTAATGACTGAATTGAGTTCCTCTAGACAAGTTTTTTGGAACAAATAAAAAGTTATTTTGTTTAGACACGTGAGACCTTAAGAAAAACTGACCAGTGTACCAGACACAGATCATGACACCCAAACTTCTTACACAGAGCTTTAAATAATAAACACCTTGTGCCCAAAGATGTCAAGCAAAAAGTGACTCTGTTCAATACTCTCTTGAACTGGTAATCAATCGAAAATCTTTTCCACCTGTGGAGTTTGACCCAGTGATATCCTTTCTACTGAGTTCAGCTAATAGCTTTCTCTTCGTGTAATTTTCTTCTCAGCTTGGAGTCCAGATCTTGGTCTAATTTCACTTTCTCCAGCTCAAAACTACAATCAGTGCCCTTTGGTAATCCTTCTTTTAGATTTCCTCTTCTTCTAACAGAAAGATCCAGAATATCCTTTAAATTCTTTCACTATGAGGAATCAGAATGTTATGCTGCATCTATTCCTATTAAGTTAAATTGCAAGAATTCTAAATATTAATGAAAACTAATTTTTAATATAAACACAAATAATAAAATGTTAATAAACAATTCAAGCACATCTTAAGATGATTAAATTCCCAAATCAATGGTTCATCCTTTCTAAAACTAACTTTATTTGTATTTTGATAATATAATGAGGCTGTAAGCGTAAGCATGTACATATGTCTCAGTTAATTACCAATCTCTGAAAATGGTGATAATTACCTAATGTGTGAAGAAAACAAGAAAAATTAAAAAAAAGAAACTTTAAACAGAAAGGACTTTCCTCAAAGGAAAACAGACAAACAGGATGGTTCCTTCAAATTATTGATGAATTTTGTCTTAAAAGACAGTGAAGGAGGTAAAAGTTCCCCAAGGAAAAATATCAGTCTTCTAATTGACCCCTGTTAGATTATATTATTCTATTCTTTAGAGAAATATTTTTGTTGATTTTTCTCTCACATTAACACTCACTTAAAAATGAGAAAGTAGCATCTTACTATTTCCCTGTGCTTTTCTCCTTTGAAATGTTTTTGGAACACTCTTGGGACAGTAGACACATTTTTCATTTTGTGTTAGAGTTTCACTTTGATTTCAGTTTTTCAAACAGTGTGTTTCTTAACGTATTAAAGATATCGTTATTCAGTAAAGACTGTTTTTCAGATACTTTGCTAGATATTAGAATGTATTAAAGGGGGAAAGAAAAACAAGACCCAACTGCTGTCCTCCTTAAACTTAAGACTTATTATAAACCAAAAACTTGTTTTTTAGTTTTTATAAACCTGGTCGATTTTTTGATTTTCTGAATTCTAAATTTGTATAGATTGTGCACATGTGTGTGCTCAAATTCAAATATTCATTCTATAATCAAGTTCTAAATTTAAATTTCTAGTATTTGAGGCTGCCACGTCACGTTTTCTTATGTTCCTTACAAAGAACTTTTCAATATTAAAGCTAAATAAACTTTTTGAGTAGATAATTGAAAAAACCTTTTAACTTAACATAACAATTCTCTGTTTAGTCAACAGAGTTTGTTCTCCTGAATCTCACATCCTATATATGTTGTTTCTCTGGATACCAAGTTTAGATTTTGTGTGTGTTGTAATAAATCTGTCGTATCTTTCCTTGAAGGACAAGTATCTCATGCTTCTATTACCTCTTGTCAAAAAATATATCTAGTTGTTGAAATCTTATAAATATTTGAAGAATTTAAGCTATAACTCCAAATTTCAAATATAATTAATGTTACACAGAAATAGAATGCTATAGATGATCTATGGATATTTCACTTATATTTAAGCAATTAATTGCCCAAAGATCACCTTTTGGGTGATCATCTATATGGTAATTTACCCCTATTACCAGTTTTTCCTGATAAAGATTGTGAATTCCTAGATTCACCCCTTTTTTTTCCATGCTCTATTCTTAACTATTTTTTCCTGTCTCATATGTTGGGACATTAGAATAATTCTATGTAATGCCTACACTATGCCTACATTGATGCCTACTAAAATGTTTTATAAATACTTCAGCATCTGTGATTCAGTATGATATAAAGCTTTGCACTATTTGGCATGCCAAATGGTTCAGTAATCTTAATTAGGAAGAGTTTATATCTTAAGACATCTTCATTTTAAGATGAAATCCTACAGCTAGAAGAAATCTTGGATGATATCAAAGTCAATACTATTATTTTATAAACAAAAAAACTAAGACCTATGAAATACAGAGTGAGAACTGAGGAAAACAGCTTATGACAGAGAAGCTATTTTTAGAAATGTTATCCTGAATTCTTGTCCACTTTTTTTAAAACCCAGTTTACGACAGATATTTCTATGTGCTCCTACTTAAACTCCACCATTTCTACTAACTTCCCATTGTTATTAACTTATTTCTTAGGGTGTTCATCTATATTCACTATCCCTGTCCTAAGATAGCTTCGGGCTTGTTACTGTACAGATATGATTCTGATTATGCTAAAGAATATGAAAGGACACACAGCCATCCTCGCTACTGTAGGCCAAATAGAAAACTGCTCCAATCAGCACAACTGCCACAGTCAGTCAAACAGACAACAGCAGTGAGATGGGTAACAGAACACCGTACTAAAGAATGTGGGTTGAGATTTTCTAGTTTATTTGCATAGAGGTGTTTATAGTATTCTCTGATGGTAGTTTGTATTTCTGTGGGATCGGTGGTGATATCCCCTTTATCATTTTTTATTGCATCTATTTGATTCTTCTCTCTTTTCTTCTTTATTAGTCTTGCTAGTGGTCTATCAATTTTGTTGATCTTTGCAAAAAACCAGCTCCTGGATTCATTGATTTTTTGAAGGGTTTTTTGTGTCTCTATTTCCTTCTATCGCAAGGACAAAAAACCAAACACCGCACGTTCTCACTCATAGATGGGAATTGAACAATGAGAACACATGGACCCAGGAAGGGGAACATCACACACCAGGGCCTGTTGTGGGGTGGGGGGAGGGGGGAGGGATAGCATTAGGAGATATACCTAATGTTAAATAAAGAGTTAATGGGTGCAACACACCAACATGGCACATGTATACGTATGTAACTAACCTGCACATTGTGCACATGTACCCTAAAACTTAAAGTATAATAAAAAATATAAAAAAAAAAATAGAAAAATAAAATAAAAAAAAAGAATGTGGGTTGAGACAGAGTTTTGTTCTTTTTCATAAGTGACTTTGGAAAACTCGGCTCACTACTGTGGACTTCCATTACCTCATCTACACAAAAAAGAAGGTGTAAAATACATTCATATGTTTAAAAGTGGCACCAAACTAACACTCTAGTTAGTACTGTTTTATAATGGTAAAACTGACAATAATATGATTAATTCTGCCAACAAATATTTTTGGTTGCTATTTTTAAGCACAGTGAGAATAAAAATCTTACAGTATTTAACTCTGTCTCTTTATCTAACACTGTTCTTTATAAGACACAAATAATGCATATATAAAAACAAACTAATATACTTCTTTAGGAAGACCCTATCTCTGTCTACCCCCATCTCATTCGAAATGAATATGAAGACATGGTGTTGTGTTCCCAGCCAAGTTCTCCTAGACTACATCTACCATACTCAGGCTATGACTGAAACATGTGTATCTCATGTACATCTCATGTCTTTCAGCATCCTGTTTTCTGGGCCACAATCTTCTGACACCATCTATTAAGCACAGAGTTGAAGCAATTTACTTTGGTTAAAATCATTCACAGGTGAATAGGCTCTCAGATTATCAAAACTGTTGATGAAAGGCACTCAGTGACTTTTAAAAAATTATTATGTTATTTAAGAATTCTACATAACACAAAACTTTAACAGTTAAACAGATATTTCCCCACATACACAAGTTGGTGGTTCTTTTATCAACAACAATTTCTTTTTTACCACATTCCAGTGTAATGACATTCTGTTTCTCATTCTAGTGGTTGTTTATTTCTGATATAGAGTATTTATGTTAGAATGTAAAATCACAATATAATTTTTCAAAAGAAAAAAATACACTTGTGCCTGGCACGGTGGCTCAAGCCTGTAATCCCACCACTTTGGGAGGCCGAGACGGGCGGATCACAAGGTCAGGAGATCAAGACCATCCTGGCTAACACAGTGAAACCCCATCTCTACTAAAAATACAAAAAAATTAGCTGGGTGTGGTGGCGGGCACCTGTAGTCCCAGCTACTCGGGTGGCTGAGGCAGGAGAATGGTGTGAACCCGGGAGGTGGAGCTTGCAGTGAGCTGAGATCGCTCCACTGTACTCTAGCCTGGGCAACAGAGCGAGACCGTCTGAAAACAAAAAAAAAAAATACACTTGATTTTGTTATGTTGCTCAGCCTTGTCTTTTCCTATAAACTAATCCTCTTGTTTATAAGAGGTTATAACAAAAACATTGAAAAATGATTTTCCAAGTGTTATTTGTTGTCACATCATTTAAATAATTAAAGGTAGTAAACATTTAAAAGTCTGATTTCATCCTTTATTCCTTGAGTTCTTGAGATAGAACTGTCCAATTTTTCCTTACTCTCCGATGCTACTCTCATCATTATTTATCCACCACCTTCTGGGTTTCTTTATTTGAAGTCCACACCATCTGTCTCAGCCACCCACGTAATCATTCCTGTTGTTCTCTCCTGTCCCTACTCCTACCACAATGCATACCAATTCTGAACTCCCTAAAATGATACCAGTGTGGGACTCACATTTATTTTTTTTTTCTACTCCAGACTGCTTCAATCATCTTGATGCAATTGTCATGAACTTTTAGATCTCTTAAATGAAGAAATATACATTCTAGCAGAATATTCATTAATAATATAGAATGCATTTATTAGACAATGGGAATACAGTTGTTGAACCAAGAACACTGCAGCATTTCACAGATTTATGCTCACATTTATAATCTTAGTATCCTGACCATTTCCTCCTTATCGCATGCATATTTCAGTGTCTTTTACCCTCTCAAGAAACTCAAGTAGGAAGCAGAAGAAAGAGTAAAACTTTGGAGTCAGAGAGATTTGTTCAATTCCTGACTTTGAGGCTTGTATACTGTGCGGTAACAGATAAATGTGGTAAGCATAGAGATAAGAAAAATTCACCTTCCTGGAATTTTAGCAAGTACGAAAAGTGAGGCTAGCCAATGATAAGTTACCCCCAAATTCTAAAAGAAGCCATTGGAAAGATAGCAGTACTGATATTGTAACAGTGAATCTATCATACATCTCTAATTTATGTGGGAGAAGATAAGAAATTTGAAGAACAGTTCAATGAAGTAAGGGAATTTAAAGGCGTTAGGTACATGATGGTATTTTCTACTTCTAGGGAAGGGAAGAAGTGTGCTTCTTATCTCTTAAGCCAAGTGATGGGAATCTTAAAACATGTATTTTCAGAGGTTGTAACTGCTTTTAAGAGATCAGCATCTCACTCTTGCAAAAATGTTTAATGGCCATAAAATTATAATCTGAAGTAATGCCTTGGGTTATGACAGAATGTGATGGGATAGTAACATGACTTGGTTTTTTTTAATGTTTGGAGACATGTAAGGCAGGAATCATCTTGAAAAAGATTATAAGGGCTGAGTAGGGAAAAGTCAGTGGTTGAAGAAGTACCTTTGCAAATTTGGATGTGGTAAGGAGTCATGAATTCTACAGGGAAGTGGATATGGTAAGAATTATTGCACTCAAGTCTCTCCTCTATAGGGCTGTCTGATAAGGTAAGAGAGCCTCAGAAGCAAGTTCTTGCGTGGTGTTCTGTCTGAAGCAGGAACTGAGAGAGACTGAAAGAAATCAGGTGGGAGTCATTGGTCTGCTGGGAATTTTACAGTAAAGTAGTCTCCAAAATGCTTCTCACAAAAAATGAAAATATAAATGCATGCCGCATTGGAGAGTATGAAGGCCAACCAGTATTAGCCAAAAACTAGGCTGCACCATAGTATCTAAAAATGAGACTTTTAAAATAGCTGAAAATGGCCAAAAACCTCAGATAAATCAAATAAAGGCTGGGAAGAGAAGTCTGGCAACAAATTTAGAGGAAAGTACAGGAGAAAGCATTTCCAATAGTTCAGCCCAAATAAAAGTATCTCTTCTTCCCTCAGTTCCCTTAATTATAAAATGGGAATAATGCAATTTACTTTCTAAGCATAATTTAAGGATTGAAGAGGAAGATTTAAGGTAGAAGACTTAGCATCTAGGGCACTCGGTAGTTGCTCAATAAATGGAAGCTATAAAAAGGACTTCCAACTTTAATTGTAATAATGTGTTAGTCTTCTCTTAGCTATCATTAAATTCCGACTACCTCAATTACACTCTGATTTGTTATAGTGCACACTGTAGTAATCCCCAACATTAGACTATTTTCAATTTCTCTTTTTTTCTTATTCTGCTCCAGGCTAAACTGTCCTGCTGGGAAAAAAATAGATTAAAAAAACACTAACTCATCCCAATACAGATCTATACCTCTTTCATCATCTTAGTATGTCTCTAAAAACCTATTAAGTTTACTTTTGATTACAAAATCAAAGTCAAGTTTTTCTGCCTGTCACATCTTCTGTGTGCAATCAGAATATATATCATCATTTATTAATTTATAAATTCACCCAACAAATATTTATTGAGTGCCCACCATACAGATGAAAGTCCCCTAGAAAGACCTCTGCAATTGGCCAGGCACGGTGTCTCATGCCTGTAATCCCAGCACTTTAGGAGGCTGAGGTGGGTGGATCACTTGAGGTCAGGAGTTCGAGACCAGCCTGGCCAACATGGTGAAACCTCATCTCTACTAAAAATACAAAAATTAGCCTGGCATGGTGGCATGTGCCTGTAATCCCAGCTACTTGGGATGCTGAGGCAGGAGAATTTCTTAAACCTAGGAGGAGGAGGTTGCTGTGAGCCAAGATAGTGCCATTGCATTCCAGCCTGGGCAACAGAGTGAGGCTGTCTCAGAAATAAATAAATAAATGAATAAATAAATAAATAAAATAAATAATAAAAAAGACCACTGCATTAAATGAACTTATGTTTAGTGAGAAAAGAAATATGTTTTATTTCCTTATTCATAATAAAGAAAAGAAGTAAGTAAAACAACATTCATTATATTAGGTAGTCAGTAGTACAAAGCAGAAAAATATACCAGAATAAGGGAGTAGAAAGTGTCACGGGTTGGAGTAATTTTATATAATGTGGCCAAAGAAGAATTTAGAGAGATGATAAATGGGTTAACCCATTTATGACTACTGTTCCATTATTGGAATGCTCAGCATGTGGGAGTTATTTATATCCTACTGCTCAAGGTCATTGCCAAGGTCTGATTTTTCAAATTCAAAAAAATTGCAACCTCAGGCATAATTAAAGAGATTGAAGGTAAGGGAGCAAAACCATGTGGATATTCAGGAGAAACCTCCAGGCAGAGAGAATAGGAAGTAAAAAGGTCCTAAAGTAGAATTGTTCTTGGTATGGTTCACCTGTACCTTGCAGTGAGAGAAATAAGCACAAAACTGATTTACAATTTAACAGGACTTTATATTTTAATAGGCACACTGTGACTATTATGTTGATCAGAGATGGAAGGGTGCTAAAGAAAATTAAACATAACAACAACAACAAATAAAAACAAAACCAAAACAAACAAAAACACTTAGTAGATTGCTACAATGATTCAGGTAAAAATATAAGCAGCTTAGACTAAAATATTAATAGTAGCAGGGAAGATGATGATAAGAGTTAATATTTTTAATGAGATGATGAGTCAGATGTTGATAGTAAGAGAAAGAGATGGTGCAATGAGACTTCCTGGTTTGGCCTGAGCAAATGAAAGAATGGAGTTTCTGTTTTCTAAGAGGATTAACTTCCTGAAAATACGAGGCTTTGTGGGGACTATCTGGTGCTGAGTTTGGGACTATCTGGTGCTTAAGATTTAGATGAGTGTTGGATAGTCAAGGGAAGATATCCAGAATACCATGAGATGTTCAATTCTCGATATCAGGGGAGAAGTCTGGGCTGCAGATTAAATGATATTGAACATTGACACACTACATGAAATTACCACGGGAATGACTGCCACAGAAAATCAGCCAGCTCATTACCCTTAGGCCTTACCCTTAGGACATATCTACGCTTGGGGTTAGGGTGAAAAGGTATCAGCAAATAATGAAGGGAAGGAATCACCAGAAAAGTAGGAGAAAATTATATTCCAGTGTAGTGACTTAAAAGCCAAGTGAAAAATTTATTTCAAAAAGGAGATCATAATCAACCATGTCAAATTATGCTGGCAAGTCAATATGAGAACTGAAAATTGACTGTTAAATATAGCACCATAGCAATCATTAGTGACCTCGGCAATAGCAATTTTGCTGTATTGTGGGGATAAAAGTCAATTGCAGGGAATTCAAAACAAAATGGTGGTACGGAGATGGCTCAAGAGAGTGACAGCCAACTCTTTCAAGAACTTTTTGGAATAAGAAAAGAAAAATGAACAAATCCACGATAAGCATTCGCTAGAGAAGTATTTTGTTTATACATTTGTTTTTAAGGGAGGATAAACAGCATCTTTGCATTCTGGTAAGAATAACCGAAGAGAGAAAACTGATTAAAGAAGTAAGCAGGATTCTGTAGTCCCAGTTATTTAGGAGGCTGAGGTAGGAGGATTGCTTGAGCCCAGGAGTTTAAATCCAGCCTGGGCGACATAGTGAGACCCCATCTCTTAAAAAAAGTGGGTAGAATTGTTGGAACAGTGCACTTGTGCTTAAGCAGTTAAGAGGTAAGAGGAAAGGACACCTAGAGGATGGGCTGGTTGTAACTGGAAACATGGACGATGTATTCATAGTAACAGTGGAGAAAGCAGAGTAAAGGGCTACAAATTCAAGTAAATGGGTAGATGGGTAGATGCCATGGTGAGACTAGGGGGAGTTTTCTTTGCATCTATTTTTCTCAGTGAAACAGAAGGTAAGATAATGAGAATGAGGGTTGAGAGGAAGTATTATAGGTGTGAGGGAGGGGAGTGATGAATTTATAAAATAATAATTTACGAAGTGGAAAACAGGATAGACAAGGGAAATATCGTATGACTGATGGACAGCATTGAAGCCTGCCTCAGAGTAGTGATTTAAGTATTTAACTTAAGACAAGTCAGCATGACTGTATGAACCGTCTCCCAAATAAACTCATTAATATATTAGATCAGTCTCTTCAACACACTATTTAATCATTCTATTCTGTGCATGAGGAGATGGAATAATAAAGGACTTTTGTCTTTCCATTTGGAACCTTTGTGTTCTCCCTTATATCTATATAAGTTCCAGACTTTATTCAAGGGCCAACCCATGCCTCATCTTTTCCATGAAGTTCCTAGTAATGTAACTCTCTATCTTGTCTTTTCCCCTTTTATATTCTTTGGTGTTCTGTAGTGGTTGAGAGCAAATACTCAGAATTAGACAGCCTTACTTCAAATGTCAGCTGCATGACCCTGAGGAAGTTCCTTAACCTTTCTAAGTATGTTTCCTAATCTATAAACAAATACATTAAAGCATATGATATACTTCACTGGGCTTTGATTGAAAATTCCAGGTCATAATTCAGTTCAACTACTTAATATATAGCTGATACATACTAAAAATTCAATAAATATTGATATTTAGCTACATTTACTATTATCACATAATTTATTAATTCATGTGTTTAAACTGTGTCATGGGGGAAAATATATCTTCCTAATCACTATGCTACGTAAGCTTATCAAGGATAGGAACTATGTGCTACACTTGCTTTTAAATTTCTTATAAAATATAGCTTAGAAATGAGACACTGGATGAATAT